>NC_000007.14:96446172-96749203 GCF_000001405.40 Homo sapiens
GGGTGGTCAGCAGACCTCAATGGATTCTGTGAAGTCCCACCTTGGGTTTCCTCTTTTAATGATGTCCAAAATAGACCCTTTCAGCTATTTATAAACTTTCTAAAATTAGCAAGAGAAAAACAGAGTTGCAAGCTGAAGCCATGGGATACTTCATTACCTCAGTTATTAGCCTGACAAAATAAGTGACTTTCCATTAAACAGCAGTGACAGAAAAGGAGGAGGGTTTAGAGGTCAATAGCTCCTGTGATACGAATCCCTAAATGTAGCCTTTCTCTAGGGACTGTCGGAATTAACTGCTGACAAGCTAATTGCTCTTATTCCCTAATTAACCAAGCCTGGCTTCATTAGTAGTTTGTGGCAATTGGACAACATTTTCAAGGATCTAAAGATCTACCCAATAATAATTAGTAAACAACTGAAATGAAACCAGCCTCCACTTGTTGACAAGATTAATTGAATAATTATTGTTTCATTGAGAATAAAAAGAGCAAAGAAATGTAGCTCGGGAATCTGCAGCAGTCTTTCCTTGGGCAAAATTTCCTCAGAAACACACAAAAGCTTTCTGTTAAGAAGAGCTGCTGGCTAGGTGCTGCGGCTCACGCCTGTAATCCCGGCACTTTGGGAGGCTGAGGCGGGTGGATCACCTGAGGTCAGGAGTTCGAGACCAGCCTGGCCAACATGGCGAAACCCCATCTCTACTAAAAGTACAAAAATTAGCTGGGCGTGGTGGCAGGCACCTGTAATCCCAGGTACTCAAGAGGCTGAGGCAGAAGAATCGCTTGAACTCGGGAGGTGGAGGTTGCAGTGAGCCAAGATGGCACCACTGCACTTCAGGCTGGGAGAAAAGAGTGAGACTCCGTCTCAAAAACAAAACAAAACAAAACAGAAGAGCTGCTGAATCTGATCTATCCAAAAAATCCCAACATGGAATTTAATATTGAATTCGTTATGATTTATTGGGTCTTAACTATTTTCAATAAAGTGTACTTTTTCATATATACACTTAACATCTTTATATATCATTTAAAACACTAATCACATTGATAGATTTTGAACAGGCATCTAACAAATGCTTTACACATATATAACTTTGCAAAAACTAATTGATTCAGCAAAGCAAATTGTACTCTGAAACGACTTGGCAAATATCTCAGAACAAAGTGTTTGGTTTAGTTTGGCTTAATAGCTGTGATTTTTTGAAATTGTTTGACTGGTTTTTCAGTACTGAATGCAAAAGACAAAAATGTACATCAAATTTCCATGGAAATTCGTTTTTGTGTGTAATAATTAAGCACTATTGAGGATTTTGAAGTTTGAAAATTGGTCACTGTGGATGGGTCATGATTTCGTTGTACTTGAGCCTGTTTTTTTCTTGTCAAAAATGATTTCAACCACACAGATCAAACTTGTCAGTAATAAAGGATCCTGGCTGTCTCAGACACGATAGTTTCCTCTGGAGACTTGATAGACTGTTGGTAAAAACCCATTTTAAAAGGTCTGGATATTTGCCGACCCCTCTATCAGCGGGAAATAAGATCTCTTGGATGACCACAGGGGTGTCTACTCGTCTTATTAGAGGAGGAAGAGGGGAATCTATCATTTTCTTCCAGAATTGACTGATATTACTGGGCAAGCTTGAAAGCTGAGGGGAAACTCTGAACATGGAATCTAGAATGGGGGCGCTCAGCCACCTCCATGTGACAACATTATAAACCTTAGGGGAATGTACTCCAACAAATTCCACTAAGGTGAGGAAATGGTGATGGTGGTAATAACAGTGGCAGCAATTGCTAGTGCTAAGTACTATACATGCATTTAATCCATACAAGGAACTTCCCTTCCTGCAAGGGAAGTTTCCTTTTTTCCCCAGTTTATAAATGAGGAAACTGAGGCTCAGAAAAGCCAGGTCTCTTTTAAAGGTTCATATAGCTGATCAGTGGAGGAGGAGGACTCAAACCTAGATCTCTCTAGCATCCAACCAGGATGGCAGCCAAGAACTTATCTACTAGAATCATGGTTATACAGATGGTTATATAGAATCTAGATGATCTAGAATCAAACAATACAATTTGGAAACAAGAAAAAAAATTAGTGTATCGGAGTTAGTGAATTGAAAAATCACATTTCACTGAGAAACTGCGTTGGACATAGCCCTGGAGTTGAATTTGTGCTCACCATAAACTGAAAAAGTGCTGGAGATGTCTTCGCTGTGGGTAAATTAATGTCAGTTCTCAGATGGAAGAGCCTGCATGGGCCTCACAATGGGAACAGCAATAGAAGGAGTAAGGTCTGGCAGCCTCAGAGTAGTAGAAGCAGAATTACATTAGACCGGGTCCTGGCTGTTAGGACAAAGCTCCAAAGGGCTGAGGGATGAAAGCATGGTAGTTGGCAGAAAAGTCCACATGTTGGAGAGAAGGGATAGGCTGGGAATCAGGAAACCTGGGTTTATCCTGGCTCTGCCCTTTGACTAACCCTGGACAAATCACTCCAGATCACATGATTCTCAGCCCAGGTGGAACCAGAACCACTCTCTCTCAGTATCTGAATTCGGTCAGCACCTGTACGGGAGGGCACTGCAGTTACTTAGCTGGGGGCCAGGGGTGCTAAGTGACTACTATGCATCGGCCAATCCTGTGTGGTAAAGACTGCTTCTGCCCACAAATGCCAGGGATGTCCCCATTGAAAAACAGTCCACCCTCCAGATGCCTCATCCATGCATGGAGGGAATAGAATTTCTATCTTAAAGTCCTTACTGGGAAGGGCAGGTCAGTGCCCAGGTGGGCTGCTAGCCCCCATTACCTCCATGACCAGAGCACATCCAAATGACTCTTTTATCTCTTAGGCTTCTGGGTGAGCCTTAACTTGAAGGAAGAATTCTTTGATTATGAAGAAAACTCAATTTTGACAATCAGTGGATTAGAAGACCTTTAAGCTCCTTTCTATTCTGGGTGTTTTTGAGTAGAGGGAAATTGAGACTGAAAGTGAGAAAGGAGAGTTCTAATGGGAAAAGGAGTCAAGCTTGATAAGATCTGAGAGAACAAATGACCAGGCCCAGCTGCGTACTGAGTCTTTGATTGGCCGGCGACCCCAATGGGTCACAGCTGTAGAGAGGTCTGCTGTCACTCATTCAAATGCAGATGCAATCTGACTGGATTAGTGGCCAGGGTTGGAAGATTCTCCCTTAGGCCTCCTCATTATAATTAGCAGACGATGTTCATAGCAGGATTGGTTTTTCTAATGGCTGTTCATGTAGGTTTTTCAGTGTGGGGTTGGTATTTTCAAAAAGGCCTTGAAATGCAAATCTTCTGCCAGTTAAGGAGTCTGTGTGGCCCAACTCTAAATCCTGGTGTAGGAGGAATTATTGTTATAGATGTGTCTCTCTTTACAAAAACTTTCATACAAATCAAAATTTAACAGTTAAAATTCATGTTCAAATGCAACAGGGGAGCTTGCACTCATTCTCCCCTGGAAAGCAGAAAATCTTTCTTTTATGCATGTAATTACCTGCTAACTGCTTTATCTGTTTATGTTTTATTTCCTTAAAGTGGTGGATGGCCATATTGCCTAGGGAAGCTCACACATTGTTGGGTTACCCTTTGGATAATTCATTCCAAACAGACTACCTGAAAGGAGTTATTTCTTTTATTTTACCTTAGAAATACTTCAGAAAAGAGAACAAAATAAGCAAAAGTGGCCTTAAAAATGGATTAAATACAAGGAATAAGAAAAAAAATTGTGTTCATTTACTGGACAATATTTTGGTAATGTTTTTATTGTAAATATCAGTAACAGGATATAAGTGATCAAAATGTCCTATAAAATTGATCACATATTCTGTTTCTTGGAGCTATCCACTAGGATTAAGGAAGGCTAATTCCATGTAGGGGCTGGTGTGTTAAACTAATAGTCATTGTTGGCAGCTGAAACTTTAAATGGCCCTACTGTATTGAATAATGTAAGTGAAGGAAACATCAACAGATGTTACCCATCTATTGCCAGTACAGGCAAGCATTAAGGATTCAGAAGACTTTACAGAAGACTTTACAGAAGACTATGAGTATGGTGCTTTGTAACGACCTGTAAGAGATGTTGAAGTGTAATATGTTGGCCCTGTGTACAATCCTAATGGAGATACAGGATATAGCTACAAAGAAAAGGTAAGAACCAACATGAGACTGAATAGTATTCTTAAGCACATTTATTGAATACTTACTGTGGGCAGCTCAAGAGGCTCAGAAGTAGTACTAACAAGTAGTACTACCAATGTGGCTTAGAGGCATCCCTAGCAGAATTTAGTTGGGTCATGGTGCATTGTGAGAATGGAGCTACACCTCAGAGAGCAAGCTGAAAAGTGATAGAACATACAGTTACATGGGTGTTAGACTCTGCTCACCTGTTTCTACCTGAAAATTACCTTCTAATATTGAGGTTCTTCCTCAACCCCACATTTTTGATGCACAGACTAGAGGTACATAGGGCAGAGCGGCCAAGCTCCAAATGTCTAGAGTGACTACTGGTATCCTTCATGTCCCCTAGGCTGCCAAGCCTTTCAGAGGAAGGGGAGGTTGAGTGTGACACACAGCTCTTGTTGCAAGGCCAAGCCTGCTTAGTCTGCCCTATTGTCTTCAGCTCTGTACAAACTCAAGTTCCTTTGGCTTGTGGGCAGATTGTGTGACATGGCCAGCCAGCAGGGCTTTAGGGGCTGCTGGTTGTCCCTGGCTGCCCCTTCAACTACTCCAGTGTGTGATCCTTTCAGGTCCTAACATGGATGCTCTAAGGGGTTGAATTGTTTACTAATTTTCTAATTCTATTTTTTTTTTTTTTTTTAGTTTTCTAATTCTTTACACAGGGACCAGAAGCACACGTAGCCCTCTATTCTGGGAAGGCTTTGAAATAAAGTAGAATCATAATTCCATTTTCAGGGGTATAGAGAGAGCAGCACTATATAATGCCCTCCCCCAGTGTCTTCAGAAGGGCAATCTCCCTTTTCAGCTCAGTAAGCCCAAAGATTTATATTCTAACATTATAGCTTTTTCCATTTAACTTAAGACACTATTCTTTATAAAAATAAAAGTTTTGGTAATACAAGTCTTACAAAAAGAAATATCACGTGCAGACTTGGCTTTACTGTGAGGCCATATTTATCATTTAGACCTTACCAAGAACTACTTATTCTTTCCTATTAAAGCAGGTATCCTCTTGTCTCTCTGTCTCTGACACACACGCATGCACACACACTTTAATTTTGCTGATGAGTTACTCACTGCATAGTTACCAGCTCTTCTTGCCACCACCTTCACCTCCCGAATCCAAAGCCATTTCCTGTGCATTTTTTTTTCTTGTCTGTTAGGACATAAGGAATAGAGCCCAAAGGCACAGGATGGCTTTTGCCTGGGGTAGGGAAAAGGCTGAAGTTGCCCTGATATATTCTAGCTACAGAATATGCCTGCTTGGTTCCTAAGATGCTGAATGAGTTGGGAATCACGGACAGAAATCTAAGGGCTGGGGGACTACAAATGAACGTTTTGATTTCTGTGGTGTGTTTCAAGATATTTGTGTGATATTGTTCAGAAAATTATATTTCTTTTGAAAATTGCATGGAAATATTTGTATAGTTTAACAATACAATTGATTGGTTTTAATGGAATACACACTGCCATTTCCCTGGGAGCCTGTTCTCTTGGCAGAAGTATGGTTGAAACGTGGGGCATATTTCCAGAAAGATTGCTAGACAGTACTAGAACTTGAAACAGAAGCTGGATATATCAAACCAATGTGTGTGTTAATGGTTAAGACCCAACATACACATAGGCCTTACTGACACAAGCATATACACATTTACATATTATGTTAATTTAGCCACAGCACCTTGCTTAAACCTTACTTTTTCATAAGTTTCTTGCTGCAGCTCCTAGGTGGGTTCCTGGGACCTGTGTGAGTGCCATTAGCTGCATTCCCATGGCTTCCACACAGCAGGACAATCTATTATTTTATCAGCCCTATTCAACCTTACAAAAAGATCTGTTTCTACGTGGGCTGATACTGTAAGTGCTGATTTCAGACCAAGGCCTGCTGCTCTACTAGCTTTTTCTTTCTGTGCCTGAATGTGGAACCCCCAGAAACAAGGGGATGAATGGAAATGCAAACAGACTCCCAGCTCCAGCAGATGCAATGATTGCTTCACAAGTTTCATTTGTACAGAGGTCAAAAAGAAAGAGTAAAGGTGGGCCTTTAGTGAAGAAATATAAACATGTTATAGCAAATGCTTTTTGTATCATAGGAGTAACCTGGACTGACATAAACAGATATTGTTCTCACTGATCTTTAAAATAAAATTTTTAATGTTTAACTTTTAACTTTCTGAAAATTCGTGTTTATACACTGTAAGAGAGCTGCCTGAACTTGGTTGTGTCATGCTTTCCAATGGATTTCTAGCTTTTGAATATACTTTAATTTGAAAAATCTTTTCATGAATCCTTGACTTGTTTGCATGGTGATCAAATAACTGGAGCTCACTTGATAAATGTCAACCATGTACATTCATAATTGTTCGAATCTGTTTCCCTTCCCCCAGATCAAGCTTAATCTGTAGTTGCAGGTCTTCAGGGTGGGGATGGGGAAGTTTAGCTGCCTTTTCAGTTTTTCCCTCCTTGTAGCAGTCCAAAGTAAAAGGAGGCAAGGCTGGATCAAGAGGGCTAATTTGCACTTTGGGAGGCAGAGGTGGGTGGATCACCTGAGGTCAGGAATTCGAGGCCAGCCTGGCCAACATAGTGAAACCCTGTCTCTACTAAAAATACAAAAATTAGCCGGGCATGGTGGCATGTGCCTGTAGTCCCAGCTACTTGGGAGGCTGAGGCAGGAGAATCGCTTAAACTTGGGATGCTGAGGTTGCAGTGAGCCAAGTTCACACCACTGCAGTCCAGCCTGGGCAACAGAGTGAGACTCTGCCAAAAAAAAAAAAAAAAAAAAAAAAAAAAAAGAGGACTAGTTCAGTGTCTCCTAACAAGTTCAAGTGTGTCTGTTTGAGTCTGTAATCCCAACACTTTGAGAAGCCAGAGCAGGCGGATCACTTGAGGTCAGGAGCTCGAGACCAGCCTGGCCAACATGGTGAAAACCCATCTCTACTGAAAATACAAAAATTAGCCAGGCATGGTGTTGTGCGCCTGTAATCCTAGCTACTTGGGGGGCTAAGGCAGGAGAATTGCTAGAACCTGGGAGACAGAGGCTGCAGTGAGCCGAGATCATGTCACTGCACTCCAGCCTGGGCGACAGAGTGAGACTCCATCTCAAAAGGAAAAAAAAAAAAAGAATTTGGGTACTTGATACTTCTATATTGTGGCCAAAATCAGGCCAAAAATATGAGGTCACCTTTTTATGTTGTAGAATGATTTGGGAAACTTTTCATTTATCTACTTCTAAAAATAAGTACATTTTATTCTTTTTTTTTTTTTTTTTTTTTTGAGACCGAGTCTCGCTCTGTTGCCCAGGCTGGAGTGCAGTAGCACAATCTTGATCTCGGCTCACTGCAACCTCTGCCTCCCGGGTTCAAGAGATTCTCATGCTTCAGCCTCCCAAGTAGCTGGGATTACAGATGGTGGCCACTACGCCTATGTTTTTTATTTTTAGTAGAAACGAGGTTTTGCTATGCTGGCCAGGCTGGTCTTGGACTCCTGGCCTCAGGTGATCCATCAGCCTCTGTCTCCCAAAGTGCTAGGATTACAGGCATGAACCACTGTGTCTGGCCTAAAAATTAGAACATTTTAAGTAGCATTAAATATATTTGTTCCTGAGAGTTTTGCTGGAACTTTAACAGTTTTTGTTCTGATGCTTTTTAATAGAGGAAGGGCTTATTTTTGGTCTTCTTTTACAATTTTCTTCCAGTTAGGCTCTTGATTTATTAATTTTTCTTCCCTTTTTAAGACTCTTTCTCTTTTTAGAAGTATATTTCACATACAGTTAAGTGCAAAAACCCGAAGCAGACAGCTTGATGATTTTTACCTATGTATAAACACAGGTAACCTCCACACAGAGCAAGAAACAGACATTTCCAGCATCCCAGCAGGCTCTCTCATTCTGCTTCCAAAAGTAACTGTTATTCTAACCTCTATCACATATAGTAGTTTTATTTGTTCTGGAGCTTCTATAGATAGAAACATCCAGCATGTCCTCATTTGTGTGTCTGGCTTCTTCTGCTCGTTGAGTTTCTGAGATTCATCTACAGGAGTGCAAAAGTGTTTGCAAATATACAAAGAATTACTGAATATGTTATTGCACCGAATCAGAGGAAAATACCCGAGAAGAGACTATAACCAAAATCGCATTAATCAGAACAGAAAACTCAAGATAAGGAAAGATGAAGTAAAGGAAGTAGCAAACACACTGGACTTATTAATTATATATTTGTGTGCAAGTGGATGAGAAATAACACCAACTAAAATCCAGTGATCTTCTAGTTCAGTAAAATTTCTAGGGGTCCAGTGGTGTGGGGTCTGTCAAGATGTTCCTTCTAAGATGAAGGATAAGTTGCTGCATTTGGCCCTTCCTACAACCAATAAAGTGGCACAGTGCCTAGTGGGCCTATTTGGATTTTGGAAGGAACACTTCCCTCATTTGGGTGTGGTACTCTGGCCCATTTACTGAGTGACCCCAAAGGCTGCCAGTTTTGAGTGGGGTCCAGATCAATAGAAGGCTCTGCAACAGGTCCAGGCTGCTGTGCAAGGTGCTCTGCCACTTGGGCCACATGACCCAGCAGATCCAATGGTCCTCGAGGTGTCAGTGGCAGATAGGGATGCTGTTTGGAGCATTTGGCAGGCCCCGATAGGTGAATCACAGAGGAGACCTTTAGGATTTTGGAGCAAGGCCCTGCCATCTTCTGCAGATAATTACTCTCCTTTTGAGAGACAGCTCTTGGCCTGTTACTGGGCTTTGGTGGAAACTGAATGTTTGACTATGGGTCATCAAGTCACCATGTGACCTGAACTGCCTATCACAAATTGGGTGCTTTCTGACCCATCTAGCCATAAAGTGGGTCACACACAGCAGCATTCTGTCATCAAATTGTAGAGGTATATATGTGATCGGGCTCGAGCAGGTCCTGAAGGCACAAGTAAGTTACATGAGGAAGTGGCTCAAATGCCCATGGTCTCCACTCCTGCCACCCTGCCTTCTCTTTCCCAACCTGCACTGATGGCCTCATGGGGAGTTCCCTATGATTAGCTGACAGAGGAAGAGAAGGCTAGGGCCTGGTTCACAGATGGTTCTGCACGATATGCAGGCACCACCCGAAAGTGGACAGCTGCAGCACTATAGCCCCTTTCTAGGACATCCCTGAAGGACAGCGGTGAAGGGAAATCTTCCCAGTGAGCAGAACTTTGAGCAGTCCATCTGGTTGTGCACTTTGCATGGAAGCAGAAATAACCAGATGTGCAATTATATACTGATTCATGGGCTGTAGCCAATGGTTTGGCTGGATGGTCAGGGACTTGGAAGAAGCATGATTGGAAAATTGGTGACAAAGAAATTTGGGGAAGAGGTATGTGGATGGATCACTCTGAGTGGTCAAAAACTGTGAAGATATTTGTATCCTATGTGAATGCTCATCAGTGGGCGACCTCAGCAGAAGAGGATTTTAGTAATCAAGTGAATAGGATGACACATTCTGTGGACACCGCTCAACCTCTTTCCCCAGCCACCCCATCATTGCCCAGTGGGCCCATGAACAAAGTGGCCATGGTGGCAGGGATGGAGGTTATGCATGGGCTCAGCAACATGAACTTCCACTCATCAAGGCTGATCTGGCTACAGCCACTGCTGAATGCCCAATTTGCCAGCAGCAGAGACCAACCCTGAGCCCTCGATACGGCACCATTCTTTGGGGTGATCAGCCAGCTACCTGGTGGCAGGTTGATTATACCGGACCTCTTCCATCATGAAAAAAGCAGAGGTTTGTCCTCAGTGAGATAGACGCTTACTCCGGATATGGGTTTGCCTATCCTGCACACACTGCTTCTGCCAAGACTACCACCTGTGGACTCACAGAATGCCTTATCCACTGTCATGGTATTCCACGCAGCCTTGCCTCTGACCAAGGCACTAACTTTATGGCTAAAGAAGTGCAGCAGTGGGCCCATGCTCGTGAAATTCACTGGTCTTACCATTTTCCCCATCATCCTGAAGCAGCTGGATTGATAGAACAGTGGAATGGCCTTCTGAAGTCACAATTACAATGCCAACTAGATGACAATACTTTGCAGGGACGGGCAAAGTTCTCCAGAAGGCCATGTATACTCTGAACCACTGTCCATTATGTGATACTGTTTCTTCCATAGGCGGGATTCACAGGTTCAGGAATCGAGGGGTGGAAATGGAAGTGGTACCACTCACCATCACCCCTAGTGATCCACTAGCAAAATTTTTGTTTCCCATGTTCCCATGACATTATGTTCTGCTGGCCTAGAGGTTTTAGTTCCAGAGGGAGGAACACTGCCACCAGGAGACACAACAACAATTCCATTAAACTGGAAATTAAGATTGCCACCTGGACATTTAAGCTCCTCCTACCTTTAAGTCAATGGGCTAAAAAAGGAGTTACAGTGTTGGCTGGGGTGACTGATCTCGACTATCAAGATGAAATCAGTCTACTACTCCATAACGGAAGGAAGAGGATGCGTGGAATACAGAAGATCCATTAGGATGTCTCTTAGTATTACCATGTCTTGTGATTAAGGTCAACGGGAAACTACAACAGCTCAATCCAGCCAGGATTACAAATGTTCCAGACCCCTCAGAAATGAAGGTTTGGTCACTCCACCAAGAAAAAAACCATGACCTGCTTAGCTGCTTGCTGAAGGCAAAGGGAATACAGAATGGGTGGTAGAAGAAGGTAGTCATCAATACCCGCTATGACCACATGACCAGCTGTAGAAATAAGGACTGTAACTGTCATGAGTATTTCTTCCTTATTTTGTTAAAAACATGTTTGTGTATGTATACACGTGTACTAAGAAAATATCTTCATTTTATTTCCTTTTCCTTTATCATGTGACATAAGATTTATTAACTTCATATCAGCATTTAAATCTTGTTAACTTTATATAATAGTATTTGGGTTGGGGATTGGTGCATTTCCGGTTGTACGAAGGATAGTTGTATTATGTTAGGTGTAATTATGACCTTATTATTGTCTTTATTTGAAGATTATCTATGATCTCAGGAGATGTGTGTGGGTTCAAGTTGACAAAGGGTAGACTTGTGATGGTTAATACTGAGTGTCAACTTGATTGGACTGAAGGATGCACAATATTGATCCTGGGTGTGTCTGTAAGGGTGTTGCCAGAGGAGATTAACATTCGAGTCAGTGGGCTGGGGAAGGCAGATCCACCCTTAATCTGGTGTCTGGTGGGCACAATCGAATCAGCTGCCAGCAAATATAAGGCAGGTAGAAAAATGTGAAAAGGTGAGATTGGCCTAGACTCCCAGCCTACATCTTTCTTCCATGCTGGATGCTTCATGCCCTCAAACATTGGACTCCAAGTTCTTCAGTTTTGGGACTCAGACTGGCTCTCCTTACTTCTAAGCTTGCAGACAGCCTATTGTGAGACTTTGTGATCTTGTAAGTTAATACTTAATAAACTCCCAAATATATATATGTATACACACACACAAATATATATATTTATGTGTGTGTGTGTGTGTGTGTGTGTGTGTGTATATATATATATATATATATATATCCTACTAGTTCTGTTCCTCTAGAGAACCCTGACTAATACAGATTTCCAATTAAAGATATTAAGCAGGCAGCCTAATTTTCAGGGCTTGCTCGAGAAGGATGAATGCAGATAAATTTTGGGAGTTGTTGGCACAGCGGATCAGAAATACTTATTGAAAGGTTCATTGATAAGCTTCAGAGTGTCCAAGAACATTCTAAAATTATCCAGAAAAAGTATGGTTGTATATTCCTTTCCTTTTTCAGGGACAAGGTCCAGAATTTTCATCAGATTCTCAAAGGGGTTCATGACCCAAAAAAGTTTAAGGACAACAGATATAGATGATGGTAGATATTATAGGAATTGGTAAATTACTAAGCAAGAATATGTAGATTGAGAAGACAGCCAACGATGGGTTCTTATAGTAGAACAACACCTACAGGGTAGTTGGAGGAAGATAGAAGGCAGATATAGTAAGAAAACCTGGAGAGTGTAATGTTATAGAAAATCAATGGAAGAAAGTGTCTCAAGAAGAAAGACATCTATAAGAGATTGAGTAAGATAAGTACAGAACCCCACCCACCGAATGGCAGCAAGGAGATCACTGGTTACTGGCAAGAGTGGTTGCAGTGTATTTGTTATTAATAGAAAACTTAGTTGGAAGTAAAATTGACAGAATGGCTATAAGCATTTTTTCTGAGAGTTGACTGTGAAGCAGAGGGGGGCACATGGCTAGAGAGAGGGAATGTAAGATCAACTGAGAGACTTAAGCATGTGTATATGCTAATTGGAACAAAATAGCAGAGAGGGAGAGATTGAAGAGGTAAGACAAAAAGGAATAATTGATGGAGTTGTATCTCTGCGGATCTGGGAAATGGACACCACAGCATAAGTCTAAGGATTAGCTTCAGGAGGATCAAGTCTTCCACTGAGACAGAAAAAGTGAAAAGGACAAGGGTGGATTTAGCTAATGTTATAGATCTGAGAGTGGGGGACTGAAGGAAGTCTCATAGGCTTATGTCTTCACTGTTTCTGAAGTAGAAAGTGAGGTCATGCCTTGACAGAGAGATGGGTTTTGAACATGCTGCCTGAGAAGATTGATGAGGTTTTGAAATTATTATTTAAGGAGAGAAAACTGGCTAGGAATATATAAAGGATTTATAGGTTATGCTGAAAACCAAGCAAAAATTAAACATCTAGAATGTGAAGGGACACCAACATGCACTGTGAATGTGTATTCTCTATTATGAGCCAGTAGACCATGGAAGTTAAAGATAGGATTTTACAAGGATAGAGTGACAGAAGGATGTGGGACAAGGTTGTGGGGAAGAGTGTTAAAGAGGGATGACACGATGGATCATGAGGTCTAGGCTGAACACAAAAGGATGGAGAGAAAGGAGAGAATTGAAGTTCCAGGATAGGCATAGTGGGAATGAGGGAGTTAAAGCTGGAAAGATCCTGTTATTAGACAGTGACACACTGAAATTCATTACTTTAGAGAATGATGCCAATGTCTGAGGTATGAGAGTAGGTGAGGAAGTGGAGTGGGGTTTATAAGGTAAGCACATGTCACATATGGATATTGATTGGGATAGTTACCTGGACAGGACTTAGGTAGAGATAAGTATTATGATTCAGGGGCCAAAATTTTTGACTAAAACCATGACTAGGTGGTTGGTGGTTGACGGTTGAAGGGGAGGAGTTGCCATTATTCTCAAACAACAAACTTTTTTTAGACTCCAGGACTTGGAAATATTGGTTTGAAAGCTGCACTGGGGAGTGAAAAGAACACAGGAGCCACCTCTTAGAACTACCAAATATGGAACATGGGAATATGGCCCTTGAGAGGGCCACCACAGCAGTAGCCTTGGGAGATGCATCAAATTTCAGTAAGGTGAGGAGTGTAGCATGTGTTCTATGTAGCAGCTAAGAGTAGAGGGAAGTCTGTTTACTCTGAAACAAGTTTCAAACGGTTATGGGACATGATGCTTTTGAAGGAGAGGGGGAATTGGGGCTGGGTCAGATGCTTTTGAAGGAGAGGAGGAATTGGGGCTGGGTCAGAAGAGGGGAAGCGCAGAGGAGCTAAACTGACTGAAGAGGACAGCTGTCAGGAGAAGCTTACATTTTGAGGTCGTGACCAGGTTTGGCAGGAATGAAAGGCACAGAATTTGCTGACCTTCATGTACCTGGCAAAATCTGCCTTAGAGTTGTATCAGAGACAGGCTACCTTTCAAGACATGAGTCTCCTGACAGATAGTAGCTTGCTTTGTGGATGTTGAATCACTGTATATTCATCTGGTATTTTCTTTAAGTTATGAATCTCCTTAAAGGGTATCAGTTAATAGATATTTGAGCAAGTACTATGTGCAAAGTACAGAGGTTTTATAAAGTAGTAAGTGAGAGGATCTGACCTCATGGAGCCTACAGACTGTAGATTCTAAGGAGGAATTTATCGTTAAACAAATGTGTAAAATTCTACAAAAGGATTCGACATGTACAGGAGTGTATCTTATGATACTCAGCCTTGTGTGGGGTGGAAATGGTCTGCTTATCTTGCTCTCGTGTATGTAAAATAAGTAATGTAAAGAAGTGAGAAGCACCTTTAGACAGACTGACCTGAGGTCAAATCTGCTACTCCACCAATATCACTATGTAAACCTGAATTGGTTTTATTAAACTTTGAGCCAGTCTTTTCATTTCTAAATTGTAGACAGGTTATATCTTGTAGGGTAGTAGTGAGTACTAAGCAAGTTAATGTAAATATAGCATCAAGTATAGTGGTTAGCACATGGTAAGTAAGCAAAAGGTTAGTTTCCTTTCCCTAGAGTACTTCCTATAGGCACTTTATAAAATATGACTAAAACTATAAATGAAGGACTGTATTCTATCATTATTCAAGCTACCTCTTTGGCATTTTTATATTTTGATTAAGAAAATTATCTTACTCACTTAGGTGACAAAATTTTTTAGATGAAATTAAATGTATGGTGAAGGAGTATCTGATGAAACTGACTTGGCAGCTAAAAAAACCTGCTACTCTGTTTTTCTTTTATAAAATTGAATGCTTAAAAAAAATCTCTGTTTAGGATTGTCATGGGGGTTGTTTCTGCTTTTCACTTAAACTGTTGATTTGTCTTTATCCACACAGTATTATTTTAGTGACATGTGTAAATTTCAAGATGACCCAGTATTTAGTGACTTTACCTAATGCTTCCGGTTGAAATGTTTCTCAAGGGAAAGTCAGCCAACCATTTTTATTTTGTGCATAGTATAGGTAGAAAACACCAAAGCAATAAAAAACAAAGTTATTGACTAGTTTTGTTGTTGTTGTTGTTTGTGACAGGGTCTTCTGCTCTGTCACTCTCGCTGGAGTGCAGTGGCACAATAAGAGTTCACAGCAGCCTTGAACTCCTTGAGCCCAAAACTAGAGTAATTGGGATATCTATCACCTCAAGCATTTATCATTTCTTTGTGTTAGGAACATTCTAATTCCACTCTTTTAGTTATTTTGAAATATATGATTAATTATTAACTATAGTCATTCTGTTGTGCTGCTGAACACTAGATCTTATTCCTCTAAATGTATTTCTGTACCCATTAACCACCTCATCTTTATTCCCTCCTTCCCCGCTCCCCTTTCTAGCCTCTGCTAATCATCATTCTATTCTCTATCTGCATGAGTTCATTTTTTTTTAGCTCCCACATATTAGTGAGAACATGTGATATTTATCTTTCTGTGTCTAGCTTATTTCACTTAACATAATGACCTCCAGTTCCATCCATGTTGTTGCGAATGACAAGATTTTATTCCTTTTCTGGCTAAATAATATTCCATTGTGTATATGTTTGTACCACATTTTCTTTATCTGCTTGTTTGTTGATGGCATGGGTTGATTCCATATCTTGGCTATTGTGAATAGCGCTGCAATAAACATGAGGGTGCAGATATCTCTTCGATATACTGATTTTCTTTCTTTCGGGTATATACCCTGCAGTGGGATTTCTGGCCATATGGTAGTTCTATGTTTAGTTTTTTGAGGAACCTTCATACTTTTCTCCAAAGTTGATGTACTCATCAATCTTTGATGAGTAAGTGGGAAAAGTCCCACCAATAGTGCACAGGGGTTTTCTTTTCTCCACATCCTTGCCAGAATTCATTATTGCCTGTCTTTTGGATGAAAGCCATTTTAAATGTGATGAGATGATAGCTCATTGTAGTTTTAATTTGCATTTCTTAGATGATTAGTGATGTTGAGCATTTTTTCATATGCCTCTAACAAGAATATTTTTGACCTATGTTTCATTTCTTTGATCCTTCATAGTAAAACTTTGCAGAAGAGTTGTCTAAAATTGTTTTCTACATTCCTCAGGTGTTTTCCCAGCCCACCTTAATTAGAGTTTAGTTTCCTTTTAAAGGTCATCCATGATTTCCACATTACCAAATCCAATGACCTCTTCTGGGTACTCATCTTCCTCCTTATTCCAACTACGCTTGTCTCATTGACCACTTCCTTCCTTCTTAACTGCCCCTCCTTAGCACTTTCTTCTCTTGGCTCTTAGAGCATACTTTCCTAGATTTCTCCCTGCCTCTTGTTGGTTGCTCCTTTGCTGGATTTTCCTCCTCTGTTTTCCTCTAAATCAGGGGTGTCCAATCTTTTGGCTTCCCTGGGCCACACCGGAAGAAGAAGAAGAAGGAGAATTGTCTTCGGCCACATGTAATATATACTAACACTAACCATAGCTGATGAGCTAAAAGAAAATTGCAAAAAGATCTCATAATGTTTTGGCCAGGTGCAGTGGCTCACACCTATAATCCTAGCACTTTGGGAGGCCAAGGCGAGTGGATCACCTGAGGTCAGGAGTTCAAGACCAGCCTGGCCAACATGGTGAAACCTTGTATCTACTACAAATACAAAAATTAGCCAGGCATGGTGGTGGATGCCTGTAATCCCAGCTACTTGGGAGGCTGAGGCAGGAGAATTGCTTGAACCTGGGAGGCAAAGTTTGCAGTGAGCCGAAATTGCGCCACTGCACTCCAGCCTACGTGACAGAGTGAGTCTCTAGCTCAAAAACAAAAAACAAACAAAAAAAAACTCATAATGTTTTAAGAAAGTCTATGAATTTGTGTTGGGCGCATTCAAAGCCATCCTGGGCTGCATGCAACCTGTGAGCCATGGGTTGGACAATTCAGTCACTACAATACTTTGCTGATGACTTTTACAAGTCTACCCTGAACTTCTGCCTGGAACTCTAGGTCATCTATGAAGCTTCCAGCCTGACCCCTCTACTTTGATTGCCTGTTTTTCTGTCTTCTTGCAACCGCCCTACTGCCGCCATCATTCCTCTCTCCTCAGCTATTGTAATAGCCTCTTAATTCATGTCTTTATTACAACTCTGGGTACTCTTCTCTCCACCACCCAACTCATCCATTTTCCATACAGGAGCCAGAGTAACTTTCATTTTAAACACAACTCAGAATCTATCTCTTCCTTGCTTAAAATCCTCCAGTGGCTTCTTACAGCTCTTGGGATTTAGTCCAGCTTCTGCTGTGGCCTGCAAGGCTGGCCCTGCCTATTGGGCCACAGGCCTTCCCTCAAGCCTCAGCTTGTTTGTCTCTCCCCACTCACTGCCCCTGAGCCACTGAGGTCCTCTCTTGTCCTCAATCCAGCCCAGCTTAGGGCCGCTGCATTTGCTTTACTTTCTCTCTGGAATGTTCTTCCAATGGCTGGCTTGCTTTTATCATTTAATTCATTTAGTCTCCAGCTCAAATGTTACTTTTTCAGAGGGATTGTTCCAAAGAAATGCCACAGCCGCTGTCTATCATATTATCCTGTTTCATATTTTTCACAGTACTTTTCTCTGTGGAATATCTAATTTGTTCATCTGTCTGCCTCAGTAGAATGGAAATTGCATTAGAGCAGAAGTCATGTCTGCCATATTCACCACTACATTTTCTTCATATAGAACTGTGCTTCGTTCTTAGTAGGTGCTCAAAAGGTTATTTTTAAAAATAAATAAAGGAGTAAATGAGTAATGATAATAATACTATTTAACTAACATTGAATAGCATTTGATATTTTGGGATGTCCTTTCACTCATGTTATCTGGCTTCCTCTCCATGGTAACTTCTGAGGTAGGGACTATTGTTACGGTCATTTACAGATGAACTAAGTCATTTTGTGCCCTTTCACCTCCGCATCCAAAAGGGAAAGAAATTGCACTTTTTAAGCCTCCAAAGAAAAAGAGAATCAAGGAACTTTGGTAAAATTATTTAATAGGCTGAGCTAACCATCTGTGAACTTTTGCTTTTTGCGTTTTAACCAAATGTTAAAAATTGAACTACCTGTGTTTCTATCCTGAACACTACAAACCATTCAGAGAAAATGTTCTCTATTATTCCTGGGTCCAGATGCAAGAGGTCCATGGTAGTCAATGCTCTGTAATTAAATGAGATTTTAGGCTGAGTTTCTAATCCCCTGAGACACAGAATGTGCAGCTGTACTAATAACGTGGCCTATTATATGGAAAGCCAGCCGGGTCCTTATTTCTTTATGTATGCACACACATACACACACACTCACACACATAAATTCACATTTATATTTTTTCAAGCCAACAACAATCTAAACACAAGGTTCTCATTCTGTCTTTAAATATGGGAAATAATATTAGATTAAGTTAATGTAATCACTAACATCATGTTCTGTAAATTGAAAACTAATGCATCTTTGTTTTCCAACTCCCAGTCTGCCCGAGAAACCAGAATTTACAGAATGTCCAGACCCACACTTTCGATGATAAAATATATGTACCCCACTTAGAGTAAGGTGCATAATTTAATATTTTATTGTGTTTGATTTATAGGCTTTTTCAATCCTTATTAAATTTAAGTTTTCACAATTGAGGAAAGGCCTTAAATAAAACATATTTTGTGGTTAAAGACATATCCCACATGTGCTGGGATGGCAATTTAAGTCAGGATAACTCCTCTCTGGGCCTTCAGAGCACTGCTGAAAGCTCTGATTGTGGGGCTAAGGTTAGTAGGGCTGAAGGAGAAAGGGTCAGTGTTCAGAATCTAGGCTGAGAGCAGTATCTGTTTCTTTGAGGTCTGATATTGCATCAAAATCCACTTCAAAATCTGGTATGGAAAAATCTTTAAAAATTATATCAAAATTTGGCTTTTGTGTCTTTTAAAAAGAAAGAAACTTTAGGGGGGTAGGGAAAGTGATTTGTACTGATACCTTTGGCAAGCCCTTCACTAAGTACTCTTTCAGAACAGTAATTCCCCAACCGTCAAAGACCTGGACATGACCTCAAATATCTACAGCTCAAGAAATGTTACGTGGTGCCGCAGATGTTTTCAGGCAGGAATTCCAGGTCCTGATGAACAGATGGAAGTACCTTTCCCTGAAAGCCTCTTCTGCCCTGAGGACACTGGCCACTGAAAAGGATCCAAGCTATAGGACTGGCATCACTGGAGAATGGAAATATCCTTTCAGCATCTCTAAACTACCAGTCCCCACTAATCTTAACCAACTCCAATGCCTCTCAAGATGTTTCTGAACCCCTCATCCCTAAGGATTTATTTGCTCATGCCACTCCTGCATTTTTGCATTTCTATTATGTCAGTGATCATATTCTGTCCTAACTCCTATTCCATACAACAAAGACCAGGAGGCTCTGTACTGTTCTGTACTTCATGTCCTCTTTCTCATCTCAAAGTCATCTTTGATTCTTTCTTCTTCCACACCCGCTACATCTCATCAGTTACGGACTGTTCTTGATTCTCTCTTCTCAATATCTCTTGAAATCCTTCTTTTTTTTTTTTTTTTTTTTTTTGAGACAGAGTCTTACTCTTGTCACCCAGCCTGGAGTGCAATGACGAGATCTTGGCTCACTGCAACCTCCACCTCCTGGGTTCAAACAATTCTCCTGCCTCAGCCTCCTGAGTAGCTGGGATTACAGGCATCCACCACCATGCCTGGCTGATTTTTGTATTTTTGGTAGAGAAGGGGTTTCACTGTGTTGGCCAGGCTGGTCTCAAACTCCTGATTTCAGGTGATCTGCCCACCTTGGCCTCCCAAAGTGCTGGAATTACAGGCGTGAACCACTGCGCCCAGCCCCTTCACTTCTTTATATTTCCATGACCCTCTCTGAGTCCAGGCCATCTCTGGCTCTTGCTTTTCCCCTCACAGCAATTGATTTGGCTTTCCTCACTCAAATCTTGCTCCCAGCCCTCCCTTTACCTATTATTCCTTACTCTGCAGTCAGAGTGATTTTTCTACGATGCCTGTATATCTGATCATCTCATTCCCCTGCCAAAACCTTTAGTGTATTTCCACTACCCTTGAGATAAATTCTCAGCTCCTTACCATGGCTTACCAGGTGCTATCAGCATCTCTCCCTCATTTCCCCTCTTGCACTACACCTTACACTGCAGTCCTACTTAACTCCTACTGCTTTCTCAGGGAAGCCTGTGGGGCCTTCGCTTGCCTGGGCATTTCCCTGTGCTGTTCCCTAGTGCTCTTCCTAGCTCTTTACCTGGCTAATTCCTACTCATGCTTTGTTCTCAACTTATGGTCACTTCCACCTGGTCACCTTCCTAGGCCTCCTGCTTATCTTGCTCTTCTTTCCCATTGCATTTTGTCCTTCCCTGGCACGGCACTGAGACTTCATTATAATTGTGGTTTATTTTTTCCCTCTAGACTAGAAGGTCCCCAAGGACAGAAACTATATGTACCTTCTCTCTTGTATATCATCATCACCTAGCTCAGTGCCTGGCATATAGAAAGGCATTTAATAGCTATTGAATAAATATTCATTGTTGTATCTTCCACACATCTTGGTATCAAGTTGGTATTGCTGAGTACCTTGCACACAGTGGATGTTCAATACCAATTTGATGAATCAGATCCAATGGACACATTGTTCAAATTGTCCGATAGAAAACCTAGGTCTATTGAGACACAGAGTAAAACAATAAGCTGGTTTAGGAAATATTAAAAGATTCTTTTCTGAAAGATGAATTTGATTGGCTGACCAATCACATTGGACCACGAAGATGACCAGACAGACCATGTTATGGTTGCTATACTCTTTTTGCAGATGGTGTTTAGTTTTTACTGTCTGTGGCAATTCTATCTATTGCCTGGAAATTGGCTGCTATAGAAGTGGGTAAGAATTAAAAATTACCTTAATACTAATTATATTAATAACTACTAATCACGTTCTTAATGCGCATCAGCTCATTTGATCCTCACAATGATCCTGTGAAGTATCTCCTGTTATTATTCAACTTTACAGATGAATGGTAGAAAGAGAATCTGAACCTCTACAGTCTTACTCTGGATTCCAGGCTTTTAAACATTTCTCTTTATTGCTGGTATTTTTCACTGTGATCAGTAACTAGAGACATAGCTTCAGAGATAGACATGCATTTATGAGCTATGCAAAAGCCTTAGGAGTCTTTTGCACAGGCAGCAGGCATAATGCTTAGGAAACGAGGTCAGCCTCTTGTCATACCTGCTGGACTTGATTTTAATAAAGCTTTGCAAGCAAGTCATAAGAGAAATGGGAGCAATTTGGAAATAAATTACTTCCATTATGCTGCAGAATCTCCTATATACTGTGGCATTTAGGAATTATTCACAGATGTATGTTTACAGTTAAAAAATCAACTATACTGTGCTCAATTATATGAGGGGAAAACTCTAGTAAACAGTTTTTAATTGGATTGAAATTAAGATAAATTTAGGATAATGAAGGAAAATGTCTTAACAGCAAGATTTATAGACTGTGTGCAAAACTCCCATTGGAAGTGAAAGAAGCCCAGTATTTTGAAATGCAAAATTTACATGCACATGAGGAAAAAACATTATGTGTACACTCAGTTTCTATGTAGTCATGAAATTCTTTTGAAACAACAGACTATATATGTATTATTCAATAGACAGATATGAGCATTCACTGTTACAAAGCTCTATATTTGGTACTATGGGAAGTACAAAATTCTCCAAAATCTAGCTACAGATTCCAAGTAATTCATGATCTACTGAGTTATACGACTTCTTTATTAGAGGAACTGTATAGCGTATCCATAAAATGTTCACGAAATGTGAGAACCAAATTATAAAATATTCTTTTGGAAGACACGCTATATTTGGTAAAAGAGAAAATGAGATCCCAGAAGATATTCATCCTGAAAGAAGAGGAAAGAATGAAATTTGATTTTCTTTTCATCTAATTCTAGGGTTTAAGTGCAATAAAGGGTTAAGGAACATCCTATATGAAGCTTTAAAAGCAGATTCTTTGAAAATATTAGTAATAGGGGGTGGATTTTCAAAGATGGGATGAGAGCTTACCTTTGCAATCACATAAATGACTTGGGACAAACCATGATACATTCTAAACCCTTGCTATTCGAAGTCTGGCCTATGGATCAGCAGCATCAGCATCACTTGAGAGCTTGTTAGAAATGCAGAATCTCAGGCCCATCCCATGCCTATTGAATCAGAATCTTCATTTCAATAAGACTCCAGGTGAAATTGTATGCACAGTAACATTTGGAAGTATTGGTCTAAATAATAAGCCTTTGGCACAAGGTATTTTGCATTTTTGCTCTTTTTGCAACAGTCATTTGCTGAGGTATTCGTCTACCTTTCTAAGATCCTTTCTTTCTACTTCACTCTCCAAACCATTCTCCCCAGAAGCTTTTCTGTCTCTACTGCTGCCTGCAAGAGCTTCTCTTTTAAACAAATTTGTTTTTAGTACAGAGTCTTACTCTGTTACCTATGCTGTTGTGCAGTCATGCAATCATAGCTCACTGTAACCTCGAACTCCTGACCTCAACCAATCCTTCAGCTTCAGCCTCCCAAGTAGTTAGAACTACAGGTGGTTGCCACCCTGCCTGGCTAATTTTTAAATATTATTTTAGAGATGGGGTGTTGCTGTGTTGCCATGGCTGGCCTCAACCTCCTGGCCTTAAGAGATTCTCCTGCCTCAGCCTCCTCTGTAGCTAGGATTACAGGTGCATGCCACCAGGCCCAGCAAGAGCTGCTCTTGACTTGATTGCTTTCCACTGTCTTTTTGGCCAAAGCCATATGGAACAATTTGCATTTTCTGAATATCCTGTGTTCTTTCATGCCCTCCACCCACGTTACCCTCCATATCCCCATTTGGACCCATTTGACCTTTGGGACTCAGTGAAGCCTCCTCTCCCTTTTTACTTTATAGATATATATACACCACAGTTTATTTATCCACTCATTGGACATTTGGGTTGGTTCCACGTTTTTGCAATTGAGAATTATGCTGTTATAAACATGCATGTGCAAGTATCTTTTTCATATAATGACTTCTTTTCCTTTGGGTAGATACCCAGTAGTGGGATTACTGGATCAAATGGTAGTTCTACTTTTAGTTCTTTAAGGAATCTCCACACTGTTTTCCATAGTGGTTTTACTAGTTTACATTCCCACCAGCAGTGTAGAAGTGTTGCCTGTTCACCTCATCCACACCAACATCTATTATTATTATTATTATTTAATTATGACCATTCTTGCAGGACTAAGGTGGTATCACATTGTGGTTTTGATTTGCATTTCCCTGATCATTAGTGATGTTGAGCATTTTTTCATACGTTTGCTGGATTTATATATCTTCCTTTGAGAATTGTCTATTCATCGCCTTAGCCCAATTTTTGATGGGATCGTTTGTTTTTTTCTTGCTAATTTGTTTGAGTTCGTTGTAGATTCTGGATATTAGTCCTTTTTCAGATGTATAGATTGTGAAGATTTTCTCCCACTCTGTGGGTAGTCTGTTTAGTTTGCTAACTATTCCTTTTGCCATGCAAAAGCTCTTTAGTTTAATTAAGTCCCAGCTATTTATCTTTGTTTTCATTGCATTTGCTTTTGCATTCTTGGTCATGAAATCCTTGCCTAAGCCAATGTCTAGAAGGGTTTTTCCGATGTTATTGTCTAGAATTTTTATAGTTTCAGGTCTTAGATTTAAATCCTTGATCCACCTTGAGTTGATTTTTGTATAAGGTGAGAGATGAGGATCCAGTTTCATTCTCCTACGTGTGGCTAGTCAATTATCCCAGCACCATTTGTTGAATAGGGTGTCCTTTCCCGGCTTTATGTTTTGTTTGCTTTTTTGAAGATCAGTTGGCCATAAGTATTTGGGTTTATTTCTGGGTTCTCTTATTCTGTTCCATAGGTCTATGTGCCTATTTTTATACCAGTACCATGCTGTTTTGTTGACTATGGTCTTATAGTCGTTTGAAATCAGGTAATGTGATGCGTTCAGATTTGTTCTTTTTGCTTAGCCTTGCTTTGGCTACGCGGGCTCTTTTTTGGTTCCATATGAATTTTAGGATTTTTTTTCTAGTTCTGTGAAAAATGATAGTGGTATTTTGATGGGAATTGAGTTGAATGTGTAGATTGCTTTTGGCAGTACGGTCATTTTCACAACATTGATTCTACCCATCCGTGAGCATGGGATGTGTTTCCATTTGTTTGTGTCATCTATGATTTCCTTCAGCAGTGATTTGTAGTTTTCCTTGTCTTTCACCTCCTTGGTTTGGTATAATCCTAAGTGTTTTATTATTATTTTTTGCAGCTATCGTAAAAGTAGTTGAGTTTTTTATTTGATTCTCAGATTGGTCACTGTTGGCATATAGAAGAGTTCCTGATTTGTGTACCTTAATTTTGTATCTGGAAACTTTGCTGAATTCTTTCGTCAGTTCTAGGAGCTTTCTGGAGGAGTCTTCAGGGTTTTCTAGTTAAACAATCATATCATCAGCAAACAGTGACAGTTTGACTTTCTCTTCCAGCAACAGTTTGACTTGTCTTTTATTTCTTTCTCTTGTCTGATTGCTCTGGCTAGGACATCCAATAGTATGCTGAAGAGGTGTGGTGAGAGTAGGCATCCTTGTCTTGTTCCACTTCTCAGAGGGAATGCTTTCAACTTTTCCCCATTCAATATTATGTTGGCTGTGGGTTTGTCATAGATGGCTTTTATTACATTGAGGTATGTCCCTTGTATGCCAATTTTGCTGAGAGTTTTAGTCATAAAGTGATGCTGGATTTTATCAAATGCTTTTTCTGCATCTATTGAGATGATCATGTGATTTTTGTTTTTAATTCTGTTTATGCGGTGTATCGCATTTATTGACTTGCATAGGTTGAACCATCCCTGCATCATTGGTATGAAACCCACTTGATCATGGTGGATTATCTTTTTGATATATTGTTGGATTCAGTTAGCTAGTATTTTGTTAAGGATTTTTGCATCTATGTTCATCAGGGATTTTGGCCTGTAGTTTTCTTTTTTGGTTATGTCCTTTCCTGGTTTTGGTATTAGGGTGATACTGGCTTCATAAAATGATTTAGGGAGGATTCCTTCTTTCTCTATCTTGTGTAATAGTGTCAATAGGATTGGTACCAGTTCTTCTTTGAATGTCTGGTAGAATTCTGCTGTGATTCCTTCTGGTCTTGGACTTTTTTTTTTCTTTGTAGTTTTTAAATTACCATTTCAATCTTGCTGCTTGTTATTTGTCTGTTCAGGGTATCTAATGCTTCCTGATTTAAGTTAGGAGGATTGTATCTTCCTAGGAATTTATCCACCTCCTCTAGGTTTTCTAGTTTATGTGCATAAAGGTGGTCACAGTAGCCTTGAGTGATCTTTTGTATTTTTGTGATGTCAGTTGTAATATATCCCATTTCATTTCTAATTGAGCTTATTTGGATTCTCTCTTTTCTTTTCTTGGTTAATCTTGCTAATGGTCTATCAGTTTTATATTTTTAAAGAACCAGCTTTTTGTTTCATTTATTTAATTTATTTATTTATTTTTGTTTCAGTTTCATTTAGTTCTGCTCTGATCTTGGTTATTTCCTGTCTTCTGCTGGGTTTTGGTTTGTTTTATTTTTGTTTCTCTAGTTCCTTAAGGTATGACCTTAGATTGTCAGTTTGTGCTCTTTCAGACTTTTTGATGCAAGCGTTTAGGGCTATAAACTTTACTTTTAGCACTGCCTTTGCTGCATCCCAGAGCTCTTGATATATTGTGTCACTACTGTTGTTCAGTTCAAAGAATTTTTTAATTTCCATTTTTGACCCAATGATCATTCAGGAGCAGGTTATTTCATTTCCGTGTATTTGCGTGGTTTTGAGGGTTCCTTTTGGGGTCAATTTCCAGTTTTATTCCACTGTGATCTGAGAGAGTGCTTGATATAATTTCAAGTTCCTTAAACTTATTGAGGCTCATTTTGTGGCCTATCATATGGTCTATCTTGGAGAAAGTCCTATGTATTGATGAATAGAATGTATATTCTGCAGTTGTTGGGTAGAATGTTCTGTAAATATCCGTTAAGTCCATTTGTTCCAGGGTATAGTTTAAATCTATTGTTTCTTTTTTGACTTTCTGTCTTGATGACCTATCTAGTGTTGTCAGTGGAGTATTGAAGTACCCTACTATTATTGTGTTGCTCTCTATCTCATTTCTTAGATCTATTAGTAATTGTTTTATAAATTTGGGAACTCTAGTGTTAGGTGCATATATATTTAGGATTGTGATATTTTCCTTTTGGACAAGGCCTTTTATCAATATATAATCTCGCTCTTTGTCTTTTTTAACTGCTGTTGCTTTAATGTTTGTTTTGTCTAATAAAAGAATAGCTACTCCTACCAGCTTTTGGTGTCCATTTGCATGGAAGGTCTTATTCCACCCCTTTACCTTAAGTTTATGTGAGTTCTTTTGTGTTAGGTGAGTCTTTTGAAGGCAGCAGATAGTTGGTTGGTGAATTCTTATCCATTCTGCAATTCTGCATCTTTTAAGTGGAGCATTCAGGCTGTTTACATTCAACATTAGTATTGAGATGTGAGGTACAATTCCATTAATTGTGCCATTTGTTGCCCGTATATCTTTTTGTTGTTGTTGTTATTTGCTTGTTTGTTTTGTATTTTTGTTTTATAGGTCCCATGAGATTTATGCTGTAAAGAGGTTCTGTTTTGATGTGTTTCCAGTATTTGTTTCGAGATTTAGAGCTCCTTTTGGCAGTTCTTGTAGTGCTAGGTTGGTAGTGGCAAATTCTCTCAGCTGTTTGTCTGAAAAAGACTGTATCTTTCCTTCATTTGTGAAGCTTAGTTTCATTGGATACAAAATTCTTGGCTGATAATTGTTTTGTTTAAAAAGGCTGAATATAGGGCTTCATTCCCTTCTAGCTTGTAGGGTTTCTGCTGAGAAATCTGCTGTTAATCTGATAGGCTTTCCTTCTTAGGTTACCTGGTGCTTTTGCCTCACAGCTCTTAAGATCCTTTCCCTCGTCTTGACTTTAGACAACCTGATGACAGTGTGCCTAGGTGATGATCTTTTTGCAATGAATTTCCCAGGTGTTTGCTGAGCTTCTTTTATTTGGATGTCTACGTCTCTAGCAAGGCTGGGGAAGTTTTCCTCAATTATTCTCCTAAATGTATTTTCTAAACTTTCAGATTTCTCTTCTTCCTCAAGAATGCCAATTGTTCTTAGGTTTGGTCATTTGACATAATCCCAGACTTCTTGAAGGCTTTGTTCATATTTTCTTACTCTTTTTAGTTTGCCTTTGTTGGATTGGGTTAATGCAAAAACCTTGTCTTTGAGCTCTGATGTTCCTTCTTTTGCTTGTTCTATTCTATTGCTGAGAATTTCCAGAGCATTTTACATTTCTATAAGTGCATCCATTGTTTCCTGAAGTTTTGATTGTTTTTCATTTATGCTGTCTATTTTATTGAAAATTTCTCCCCTCATTTCTGGTATCTTTTTTTGACTTCCTTAAATTGGGCTTCACCTTTCTCTGTTATCTCCTTGATTAGCTTAATAACTAACCTTTTGAATTCTTTTTCAGGTAAATCGGGGATTTCTTCTTGGTTTGGATCCATTGTTGGTGAGCTAGTGTGGTTTTTGAGGGGTGTTAAAGAACCTAGTTTTGTCATATTACTGAGAGTTGGTTTTCTGGTTCCTTTTCATTTGTGTAGGCTCTGTCAGCGGGAAGGTCTAAGGCTGAAGGCTGTTGTTCAGATTCTGTTGTCCCACAGGGTGTTTCCTTGATGCAGTACTCCCTGCACTTGTCCTAGGGATGTGGCTTCCTGAGAGCCAAGCTGTAGTGTTATCTCTGTTCTGGATCTAGCCGCCCAGCAAGTCTACCAGGCTCTGAGCTGGTACTGGGGGTCGTCTGCACGGAGTCCTGTGATGTGAACTCTCTGTGGGTCTCTCAGCAATGGATACCAGCACCTGTTAGTATTTGGAGGGTCTTCCGGGTCCTGCAGGAGCAATCTGTTTCTTTCAGAGGGTCTGTGGGTTCTCTTGGCTTCCCTGATTTATTCCTGCAGTTATTCTGGAACAAAAGTTCATAAGGCGAGCCTCCACAAGCTGCTCTGTCTGTCTGAGTGGGAACTGCATTCTAGTCCTGCCTCCTGTCTGCCATGATCTTCCCAAAGTACAAATGGCTTTTCTGGTGCTCTGTTTGGGGGCCCTAATTTATTGATTTGTAATAAGTGATACAGCTTCTGCAGAAAAAGTACCCGAACAGTGTCAGGTGGTCTCACATTTGACAAGTACCATTCAGATGACTCTGAAATACTTCAGAAGTATTATAATATGGGTAAACTGTAGGGGGATGTCCCAGTCTCTATGGGAATCCATGACAATGGCCTGTTTTATGATCTTAAATCAAATTGAAGACTTTGCAATTTCTCCATATGTAACCTGCTTGTTTCCCTTCTATGGATAACAACCTCTGAAAACTTTCTAGAAAGAAGTCCAAGTGGTCATTGAAAATCCCTCTGGAAGATTTTTAATGTTGGGACACATGAATTGTAGGGGAAGATCATTTCTGCCAAGTCTTACTAGGAATTCTGGTCAGATTTTTTTTCTTCAATTGTTGCAAAAACTTGCTGATTTTTATGGGATATTGCTTTAGGAAAATGTGGAAGATTTAAAAGTAGAAATATCTTGGAGGAGAATGGAGTTTAAGGAGGTAGAAAGTAGATTCAACATTTTGTGTAATATTGTTTAAAATAGAGAATCTATGAAGATAAGATTACCATTCACGTTCCGGATATTGGGTTAGAATTTTGAAAGTCCATGAATCTTTGAGCAATCAAAATGAAGAGAAAAACAGATCATTGAAAAATGTCTGTATGAGCAGAAGTAAAATTTTTATTTGAATGTTCCTCATGAAGCACTTATTCAAAAGATGTGGAGACATAAGACAAAAAGAAAACTTAATATAGGATAGCAAACAGGTAGCCGAGGAACAGTAAAAACTGTAACTCTTGGTTTCTGTTGCTGATATAATGGTATTTGTAGGTAGCTTAAAAAGTGATGATCAGATATGGTGGATACAATATTTTTTAAAAAGTAATGTTAAAGGCATAGATGAGCTGGCAAGACTGTAAAGAAAACCTTGGAGGAAAGCAGAAATCCAGCGAGGGGAAGGAGCACTAGAGTAGGTAGTTGTCCTGGAAGCCAGAGCTTAGGTTTTCAAGAGCTCCAGTGAGGGATGAGTGACTAAGTCAAGCGCATGTCTAAGGTGGGAAGTATGATCCACTATCAATTTTAGAAAGCCTGGACCCCTTAAAATTGAGTGAATGGTGGGGACCACCTCCTAGAGAAAGGAAGTGAGTAAACTTGTTTATCTTTTTCTCTGGCCTATGTTGGGGAAATAATAAATAGATATAATTTCACAAGCAGAAGCCTGCCTTCATGTGGATTGGGAACATTATTTATACCGTCGAAGCTGATAATTTACTGTAAAATGGTCTACATGTGGAGGTGCCTCCAGGGGTACAGTGGAGGTCAATGTGAACTCTGTTTGAAGAAACCCACCCAAACTTAGGTCTAAAAGAATTATCATTCCAGGAAACACATGCAAGATTAAAACATATATGAGGAAAGAAACCACCATTAGAAAGTTAGCAGAAACAATAAAGACCAAAGCTATTAAAATTGTTGGATAAATATAAAAAATAACTGTATGAGATACACTTAAATAATTAAAGAGACCATTAAAAATATAACCAAGCAAACAAGAAAAGACTATAAAAAGTACCAAGCTAATTTTAAAACGAACCAAATACAATTTCTAGAACTAAAAATATAGTAATTAAATTAGATAAGCAATGGGTTAAGCCAATTAGGACCAAAAAAAAGAAAAAATGATGCAACAGAAACTCCAGCTGAAGAGACTATTATGCTTCTTAGACAAAGATTAGAAATGCGAAAAATATGAGGGATTAATAAGTTTACACGTATGTCTACTGGATATTTCAGACAAACGATAGAGAAAAGCCAATATCTGAAGTGATAATGTCTGATAATCTTCCAGAACTGTAGAATAACAGGTCACATAAAATGTGGGAAGTTACACAAATCCTAAGAAGTAAAAATTTAAAAAAAGTTCTACTTGAAATAAGTCGGAAATGCTGCCAGTGTAATGGTTAAGAGTACAGACTCTGAAGCCAGACTGCCTCGATTCAAATCTAGGCTCTATCACTAGCGAACTAATTGCCTGAGTTTCCTCATCTATAAAATGGAAATAACAATACAAGTTGAGCATCCCTAAGCCGAAAGTTCGAAATACTCAAAAATTGGAAGCTTTTTGAGCACCAGAAGTGGAAAATTTCACACCTGACCTCATGTGTTGGGTTGTAGACAAAATGCAGTCAAAACTTTGTTTCATGTACTTCATGCACAAAATTGTTTAGAATATTGTACAAAATTACCTTCCGGCTATTTGTATAAGGTATATGTGAAACATAAATGAACTTAAATGAACATAAGTGAAATAATATATCATTATGTAAGTGCAAATATTTCCAAATCCGAAAATATCTGAAATCAAAAACACTTCAGGTCCCAAGCATTTTGGATAAGGGATACTCGACCTACAATAGTACCTACTTCATAGTATGGACATGAAAATTAAATGACAATGTATATAGATATAGCCAAAAATAGTCCCTGGCACATTGTAACACTGTAAAAAAAGCTTTAACTGCTTGTTATTGCTATTACTTATAGAGGGACTTCTCTAGAGCACAGTGAGGCCAGAGGAGAGTGGAATGTTTCTACACATTTCTAAAAGAAAATAACTGTAGGCTGGGCACCGTGGCTCACATCTGTAATCCCAGCACTTGGAAGGCCAAGTGGGGAGGATCAGTTGAGGCCAGGAGTTCAAGATCAGGCTGGGAAACATAGCAAGACCCCATCTCTACAAAAAAAAGAAGAAAGAAAGGAAAAGAATTATACACCCAGTAAAATCACCTCTTTTGAACAAGGTCGAATTAAAGTCATTTTGAGATTAAAAAAAAAAAGACCTTACCACCAACATCTTTTTATTTGCTTGTTTATTTAAACGTTTATTTTAAGTTGAGGGGTACAGGTGCAGGTTTGTTATAATAGTAAATTATATGTCATTGGGGTTGTGTGTACAGATGTTTTTGTTACCCAGGTAATAAGCATAGTACCCGATAGTTAGTTTTTTGATTCTTACCTCCTCCTGTCCTTCACCTGGTGGAGGCCCTGGTGTCTGTTGTTCTTTTCTTTTTGTCCATGTACCGTCAACATCGTACTAAAGAAACTTCTAGAAAAAGTGCATTAGGAAGAAAGAATATCGTCCCATAACGAAACCCCCATTATGTAAGAATAAATATTAAAAATATCAGTATATCTAAATAAATAGAAACTGTATAAAATAATAATAAATGTTTAACATGTAGAGCTAAAAAAAAATAAGCAGAAATAGCATATTATTTGTCTATGGAGTGGTGGTATCATTATAATGAAAGCATTATAAAGTCTTAGTATTCCAAGAGAATGCAAAGACATGGACTTAACTTAAATATTAATGTTAATATTTATAGAAAATCATTAAAGAATGGGAATCAAATTTATAATTTTTATACTAATAGAAAAAATAAAATGGAACACATTTTTAAATTGAGGCAGGAAAGAACACTATCAGAAAAAAACAAATAAACCCAAATGATAAGATTGAAGAAATGATAACATGGACTAAATATATCACAATTCACAATAAGAGTAAATAGGTTACACCTTCTAGTTAAAAGATAATGACTATCATACCGAATTAAAAAATAAAATCCAGTTTGGTTATGTTTTCCCTAAAGGGACACCTAAAATATGAAGTCATTCCACCAGAAGTGTTTAAAATTAAAAGATTAACAAAAATATATACCAGGAAAATACAGCTTAAGAGAAAGCTGATGAAGAGAAAGTAATTAATATCAGACACAATAAACTTTAAGGAGGTGGATAATGATGAATGATGTAATTCACTGGGAAGCTTTAACCATTCTAGGTGTATATCGACTTAGAAACAGAGATTTATTTCATCAAAAGGAAATTCTGGTTAAACTACAAGAAGTTGCTAAATTCACCACCATTGTGAGAAATTTGATACATATTTCTATTACAGTAATTAAAAGATCAAAAGACAAAAATTGCAAAGTATATAGAACCAAACAATACCACCAACACATTTGGTAAAATGAATCTATATAAGAACATTGCTCAACAACTGGCAAATATGCATTCTTTCCAAGCACACAGAAAATTTATGAAAAGTGACCATGTGCTAGGACAGAAAAGTCTGGTATCATACATTCTATACTCTTACAATTAAGTTAGAGAAATGCATACTTGTAAGTTTAAAAACTCCTCAAATAATTTCTGCATCATAGAATTAATATAATGGAAGATACTTGGAATCGAATGATTAACAAGACTAAATATCAAAACTTGAAGAAAAGCTGTACTTAGAGGAAAATGTATTACCTGAGTGCTCATATTGATGAAAGGTAGAGATTAATGAACTGATCAAATTTGAGAAATTAAAAACAGGAACAGCAGAATAAGTCTTAAGAAACTAGGTCAAAGGAAATAAAATATCAGGTTGAAAATTAATGAAACAGAAAACATCGATCAACAATTGAGATTGGTTCTCTGAAGAAACTTTGAAAAGGAACAAAATTCTGGCTGCCTGTATTAAGAACAGAAGACGGATCATATTAGGAATGGAAAAGAGGACATAACTGGAGACAGTGAGTGTTAAAGGGGCTTAGAGGAGACCACACAGCATTTTAACTCAGAGCATAGGTTTGGGGGTCAAAGAGATTTGGTTTTGAATCCTAGATCTGCTGCGTTCCAGCAATGTGATCTCAGGCCAGTCTCGTGACCTCAGCACCTCATTAGAACAATGGCAAAGCTTGTGAATATAAAATGAAACAGAAAGTAAAGTACTTGGCACATTAAAAACAGGAAAAATTAGCTATACATTTTATTGTGATTTTTTATTCTTGGCATTAGAGTTCAGTACTCCTGGGCAGCTTTACTGGTTTTTTGATGTATAAGTAGGGCACCAAGAGCAAGAAACAGAGCTGGACAGAGACTGGAGGACATTTCATGGGGGTCAAATGTGAGTGGAGGCCTAGGAAGTGATACACAAGGCCTGAGCAAGTCTCGTAAGTGGAAAAGCCACAGGCTAGAGAGTATGTTTTTTAACATCAAAAGCTTTGAACACACACAGAGAACACCCACATTTCTCCCTCTGTGTACTCCCCAAACACATTCACTAGTACAAGCCTCTGCGCTGGGGACTGCTGCTACAGAAGGATTAGATTAAAGCAATAACACAGGAAGAAAATCAGGCCAGACCACATTTCCATATTAAAATTTAGAATACAAATTTTGGTGTTTTCAATGGTCTAGGCCATAGAGAAGTTGTTTATACCCTCCGTCCCCCATCAAACTGAATTTTACTTTATTCCACCTAGAGAAGAACCTGGCCTTGTTTAAACACCTAAAAAAAATCTAAGGGCTCAAGAATATTGTGATTCTTCACATTCCTGTGTTTTAACCCTCAGGCACTAAATAAGTATTTGATATCAAATACTCTAAATAAGTATTTGATATCAAATACTCTAAATAAGTATTTGATATCAAATACTCTAAATAAGTATTTGATATCAAATACTCTAAATAAGTATTTGATATCAAATACTCTAAATAAGTATTTGATATCAAATACTCTAAATAAGTATTTGATAAATGAGGGCAGCAATGAATAACCTGAACACTGATAGTACCAGATCTTGGACATTTTGTGAATATGTGCATATGGCAAGTCAGGGTAGAGTATGCCAGGCTTTCTCAAATGTGTGAACCTTCAGTGAGGTCTGAGCAGCATTCAGTCCTTCAGTATCCAGTAATCCTGTCTTCGTGAATTAACACCAGCTTCCCAGATCAATTTCTGACTGGGTGCTTTACATGAGAATCCATCTAGGTTGCACTGCTGCCTTTAGAAACAATCTGGAATTCTGAGGAGCCCAGAACATTTATAATTTCTCTCAAGGGAGACGCTTCCCAGCAGCACAGTGCCAGAAGAAGATACACATCCATGGGCCCACCTCTGGCTTCAGCAGGGCTTTGTCCAGCTAAGCTCTGAGAAAGATGGTTTAAAAAAAAAAAAACAGAGAAGCCCAGCTGTCTTCACCTAGGGTCCCCTGCTTAGTAACCTTCCCAACAGGGGCTACACAACCTTCTTCACTGGCTGCTTGTTTCTCTGAGTGTCGTGCCTGGAGATTCCTCCAAAAAAACGTATCCCAAACCTGGGCTGCCTAGGCCTCTGTCATTAGGAAGTCCAGGAGCCCTCAGATACCAGAAGCCTGGTGTTTTGAGGGATGGCTCAGAGCTTTGCCCCTGCTGGTCCTGGCAGCCTTTATAGCTGGAGATTGCAGTTCAATGCAAAGGGAGCCATTTGACAGTGTTTGCACCTTATCATTTCCAAAGAGTCTCTGCTCTTGAGATAGTTGGTGCTCTCAGCTGTCTGTCAAGTTCAAGAACTTTTTGTCTTAAGAATATCTGAGTGTTGGGCCTGAGGAAACTAAAGGAAACTCACCACAAGAGACATTATTTGTGGGGCTCAATTTTCCCCAGGGTTGTATCTTTCTGCTATTCTTTTGTACCATGTCAGTCTGGGGACATAATTGGCCCTCTTCCTGTGGAACTGGTTCTTAAAGTTCTTTATAATTCTGGCCTGGAGCTGCTGGGAGGTCTCTGTTTTGGTGAAACCGCTGTTCCATGGTGAATCAGTCACTTCCTCCAGGCTGCCTTCTTTCTGTCCTGCCACGAGGTCAGGGACACTGCCATTTGGGGACAGTCTGGGCTTTCATCTATATTTCGTCTGGCATGGGAAACTGGATGGACACTCCAGTCTGAACAAATAGACCCAAGGGGATTGTTGAAGCTGACCCTTGGAGGGGATTTCAGTTCTTTATTATAAACTGTTATATAAAATATATTTATCCTCCTACCTTGAGAAATATACCCTCATAGTGACAAAAAGCAAAGGATATATGTAAAGCTACAGTTTTTATATGTCTGAAGGCTGGCAAAATGTCTGCTAAAGTTATTATGGCATACATCTGGCTTTTCTGTCTATGGGTTGTGATGGTTGAATGAGTAATAAAATGTATACGTAACTTATAAATTTGTATTTGTTCCATCAGTTAAGTTTTCTTGCCTTTATTTCAGAAAAAGTACTTTGTTGTTATAATCAATATGTTTACATAATTTGTTTTCAACTCATTGTAATTCTCTGAAGGCTTTAAAAATTGCAATTATATTCAAAGTATATTTAAACATATTTTAATGAGAATATATAAATTGAATAGAAAAACAATCTAAAAGTTATTTTATATGTTTATTAAAGTCTTTTAAAATATTCAAAATGATCTATTAACTTTAAAAGGTAAAATCCAAGTTATAATTAATATATGCCAAAATTTCATTTCATATATGAACATTTTAATTAAATCTTGTTTTTATAGAGATAACACTATTCACATTGTAAATGTTCTATATCCACCTAGTTACCAATATAAAGAATTGGTACCATGATACACATATGATGCATGCATGCAAATTTAAGGGTAATATGAAATGTTAATATTACAACATGTTCCTAAATCACCATCTGCAACTTTTCTGAATATTATGTTAATTGAGTAGCATGGGAACCAGGAATGTGAACAAGAAGAGAAGCATGAAAAAGGATTCTTGGCATTATTGAGAAATGACACTTTGTTGTAAAAGAATCTATTGCATTTATGTTATCTTCAGGGAGGAATTTGGTAAGTTTTGTTCTTCTCATAACCCAGCACTATTTTTCTCTTACGTCCTCCAAGAATTCTGAAGCAACATCATCATAATCCCTGATTTTTATCAACTTTCAAATTAGGTCATCTTTTCTTTTAAGGATACAGGGAAGAGATACAGAGGCACACTTCCCTAGGACCTGAGCAGTGTGGTCATGAGAGTGATGTTAAGTGTTATAGACTATGCTGGGCCAGCTCTGAGTGCCACATCCTGAGTGATAAAGGCATCTGTGTGCTCTTTAATACATTTATTTGTGGGTGATTGTGGTATGTGGAGCCCTCTAAAATATCTCTTGCCCAGATCTATGAAAAGTACTTTATATATCACCCATCCAAATGTATACATCACATTCTCCGGGAGAAACTACTGCTAACATTTTGGAATATTTCCTTCCAGTTATTTTCTGTCCCTTGATTTCACATAGGATAATATACTTTACATACAGTCTTGTATCTTACTTTCTTGATAAAGTTACCAGTGGAAAGAGATCTTCACTGACTGACCACTTGGTACAGGAATTCCTGTCAGATGGGTCAACAAGCCTTACAGAACTAAATTCTTTAAACTTGGGGGCAAATGTTTCCCGGTCATGGAGGCTTATACCATCGGTGTTGGAGGAAGGATTACGTTGTTTTCCTAATGGATATGGCAGAAATTAAACATAAGAAGCATTCAAAACAATTAAATAAAGATCCAGAAATATAGCCGAGGCACAGTGTTAGAGGCAGTAGAGGATATTCAAAGAAATACAAGACAGTTTCTGTCTCTCTAGAGGCTTGCTTACAAACAACTAGGCTGGCTTTGTTCTCAGCAACAAGATGACTGATAGCTAAACTCTAAGAAGAAGGATGAATAGGCCATTGCAATGGATTAGCCTGTTCTGGATTAGTTCAAATTTACAGCAGAAAGTTGGGATTTTTAGAGATAATATGGTCCTAGAAACTACTTTGGAAAATGGCATGGCTTTGTCCATTTCCTTTGTGTTAGTAAGGCTAACTACCATTTACTGAGGATATTATGGACTAAATAAGTACTTCATAGGCATTATGTCATTTGAATTTTCATTTAAATTTAAAATTTAAATACTCGTTATTTAATTATTTCATTTGATCAATAACTCCATGAGAAAGGTCTTATTTACTCCCACTTTTAAAAGGGAAAGCTGAAAAGTGAAGAGGTTTAGTAGCTGGCTTTATGCCACATGGGTAAGAAGTGGTAGAGAAAGAACTATTTCCAGAGGCTGCTGCTATCTAATATTAAGATATAACAGGGAAAAAACTCTGTTCCTCATCACAGCAGAAGTGGAAAGACTCTTCTGTTGTCAGGTTAGTCAATAATAGTCATATTTGTTAGGATGGGTAAGGTTGTGCTGCAGTAGCAACAAACCATCAAACCTCAGATGCTTAACCCAACAAAAGCATTTTCTCACTCACCCTACATGTCCATATTGCATCAGCTACAGACTCTACTGGGCTCTATTTTCACTCTGGAACCAGCCTGTTGGAGAAGTCACTGTCTGAAACATTGTCAGTTGTGATGACAGAGGGAAAGAGCACTAGAATATGTATTAACAATTAAATGCTTCTAATCATAATTCATCTGTCTGAACTTGTCATGTGACCCACCCAGCCACACAGAAAGCTAGGAAGTATAGTTCTACCATGTGCCTTGAAGACAGAGAGCCAGGGATATCTGGTATCAGCATGTTTACTTCAATAGATGTGGGCACCATATGACCAGACTTCCATCTCTGCTATTGATATGCTGCTAGCAAGTTCTTTCTGCTGGGGCCAGATTGTAGAGGTCACCCGAATGGCAGCCAGGCAGGCAAGAACAATCTTCACAGTGCACCAAGGATGGTGGGGGGCTCAGTGGAGCAGTGGAAAGAGTCAGGGACCTATGAAGAAGAATGATAAATGCTGTGGGCCAGGAATCATTTGATTACACTTCATGCATATTAACTTATTCAATCTTCACAACAACCCTATAGGGTAGATCCAATCATCCCCATTTTAGAGATGAGAAAACTGAGGTATAACTGTTAAGTAAGTTCCCCAAAAAAAGATAGCTAGTAAGTGGCAATGTGGGATGCAATCGCTGGCAGAATAGGTCCAGAGGTTATGCCCTACAGAGTGTACTCATGTAGCCACTGAGTACATTCTCCTTCCTGCCTGTGGTCGCTGCTCAGAAAGGAATCTGAAAATCATATGCCTGTTTTCAACTTCATCTTCACCACAATGACTTTAACTCTCTATAGAGTGAAGTTCTTTTTCAAAGGCACATCAAACTATGGCATCTCTCTAACTGTGAAGATGAATGAGAAGCTCTTCATGTGAACCAGAGAAGAGAGCCAGAAACCATAAGGTAAAATGCTAAGTGTGGCTACATGTGTCTCACTCTAAGTCAGTAAATACCTGAAGAGAATCACAGGCATGGCTTTATGGATTTGAATTATCTGTGTGTGTATAAACCTTGTTGATTCAGACTCCACTGGAAAGTGTAAACACATCAGTGCCATAACCATTATGAACAGAAAAGGCATGGCCACAAGTAGATACAGAAGCCAGCATGGAATTGACAAGAAGTTATTCCACTCACTTACCAAAAAGCGCCTCCCAAATCCTAACTCTTCCGAATGACTCAATTTCACTGGCATCACTGGGTGCCTTAAAAATCCTCTCACCATACAGAAAAGTTACCCATTTATATCCATTTATATCTTTGTTCCATTACCTTGCCCACTTCTTTTTTCTTGAGGTGGAGCTGTAAATATTAGATTTCATGATTCAAGTCTCTGGAATCCAACTTTCTAAATTGTCTTACCCTGGTGGAAATGGGAACACCATATCCTACAGTCAGCTGTTATTCCTGTTGAGACTGACAAAAAGCATTTATTAAGTGCCTCATAGTATATAGCACTGACATGGGTGCTGCCAAAGTGTCAGGCCTGTGCACTATGCCATGTTCAGCTCAAACAAACTTTGAGGTCCTCCAAATACACAGCGAAGTAAATGTTTTGCCAGTTTTGAACATTTGCCACCAAATTACTTACAAGACAAGGTCATTGCTTATTAAGTCTAGGCAAAATTTTTTAAGTCAGAATGACCAGTGTTAACCCATTACCAACTATATTGGTTTCCTATTGCTACTGTAACAAATCTCCATAAACTTAGTGGCTTAAAACAAGGCAAATTGATTCTCTTACAGTTCTGGAGGTCAGAAGCCTAAAACATGGATGTTAGCAGGACTGCATTCCTTCTCAAGGCTTCAGGGGATTCCTTGACTTTTTCAGCATCTAGAAGCCCCTCCCTCAATCCCTCCTCTTGCTTTGATCTTCCCAACTCCTCCTACTCACTCTGAGCCTCCTGCCTCCATTTATAAAGGCCCTTGTGATTGCTTTGGGCCCACCTAAATAACCCAAGCTAATCTTCCCATCTCTACATTCTTTTTTTTTTTTTTTTTTTTTTTTGAGGTGGAGTCTCACTCTATTGCCCAGGCTGGAGTGCAGTGGTGCGATCTCGGCTCACTGCAACCTTGGCCTCCTGGGTTCAAGTGATTATCCTACCTCAGCCTCCCAAGTAGCTGGGACTACAGGCGCATGCCACCATGCCCTGTATTTTCTGTATTCTTAATAGAGACAGGGTTTCACTATGTTGGCCAGGTTGGTCTTGAACTCCTGAACTTGTGATCTGTCCACCTCGGCCTTGCAAAGTGCTGGGATTACAGGCATGAGCCACTACGCCTGGCCTCCCATCTCTGCATTCTTAATCATATCTGCAAAATCTCTTTTACTCTGTAAGCCAACATGTTCACAGTGTACATGGATTATAATGTGGACTTTTTGTGGGGGGTAAGGGGGACATTGTTTAGCTTACCACAGCCACCAAGGTTTTTCTGATATGTGATAAGCTGTATAACACTTTATTCTAAAAATCATTATGTAAGGACCAGGGAAGAATTGGAAGAAAGGAAAATATCACGTGTAAAGATCACGGTTGAGTATGTCACAATGTTGCTGGCCTTTAGTTTTAGTATCTGGTGTCAAAGACTTAGAGAGTTAATTTTTTTTCTACCTTTTTTTTTTTTCCTCCTGTGGCTGTCATCTGCTTACCTGCAGACCCAGGCTAACTCTGTTGTCGCTCTGGAGTTGGGCATCTCCAAGTTTATCTGTTGCTTTGCAAAGGCCGGATGCTTACTCTCATGGATCCAGGGTCCTCTGGCCCGCTGAGCTGGGCTTCTTATGCTGGGTCTCCTCCCCCTTTTTATGCCATGCTTTCTTCCCACTTTTCCTCCTTGTACAGCAAACACAGCACAAATGTTGGAGTCCTATAAGGGAAGTTGAAGGTATTATCCTAGACCTTTCAGGCTGGCAGGAGGTGAGGAGGCGGGCACCTGTTCCACCTGGCCCTGTGTCTTCTCATTACTGGATTTTAAGCAGCCTCCTTGAGTGAGGTGGGGAAACCAAAAGCAGTGTAAGAGCAGGGGCTTCTTTCTGCCCAGCAGGTCACCCCTCTCCCTGACCCTCAGGCCTCTTTTTAATCATTCCACTCCCTGGTTACCAGCTACCCAGCCTGGGTGTCACTTATTCTTGCCTCCAACACAAGGGGACTTGGTAACCTTGGTATATAATAGTAGCCTTTGAAATAAAAAGCTGCACATGAGGCAACTTGCAAATCCAAACTTTTCTGGGATGGGTGTGTAGTTGCAGAAAGAGTTCTTCCTTAAACAAAGGCAAATTTTCCAGTTACGCCAGTTAAACTGGTTCTCACACCAAATATCCCAATGAAGAGTTCTTCTTCTGTGCCCCTGGGAAAGGGAGGCCCCTGAAAAGCACTGTGCGCATGCCTGTGCCTGCCTTATGTTCTTAGGACCACATTCCCACCATTCAACAGGCAGAATTTAGCTAGGATGCCAGCACAGCTTTTTGTCGTGTGCATGCAACTATTTGAGGAAACGCTGGAGCTGGGAGAGTCCAAGCCTGGTAAAAATGACAACATGCATCTGCACAACCTATTCTAGATTATAGGGCTGGGACTAGGGAGAGACCAGTAAGTTACTAACCTGAGGTGCAACTTTTAAGGGAGTATCACACAGTAATCAATTAATCAAGAAAACAATATTTTGATGGAAGCACTTTTTAAAAATCAAAGTTAATGCAAAATATCTACAGTAAACACAATATCAAATTTTAAAATAAATATTAGTAACAATGCCATGCTATACTATGAGTCTGAGGCCAAAAGAAAAAAATTAGTAACACTAACCCAAAACATCGAAAGTGTTGATGTTTTGATCAGTATGGACTTTTATCCAGTAATTTTCATTTAAAAATATTGCATTAAAATATTATTTATCTTGATTATGGGTATTTTGGGACCCCCTTTAATTTTGTGCCCTACGGTGAGTGGCTGACTCGCCTCACTCTAGTGCCAACCCTGTAATACAAAGGGCAGTTTGGAGGCTTTAACTCATTTGAGCCTTACGACTATTCTCTAAGGTGGACATGGCAAGTATTCTTACCTGCATTTGACAGTAAAGGAACTAAATCCCAAAACTAGAGGCATGACTTGCCCAGGACTACATGGCACATGGTGAAGATGAGATTAAAAATGAGGCCTGTCAACTCTGAATCTGGGGATCTTTCCATGACACCAGAGAGTCTCAATCTCCAGTGTACCAAAAAATAATCAGGAGAGTTGTTAACATTCAGAGTCCTGAGTGCCAAACACTGAGACTCTGATTCAGAAGATCTAGGGTGGAATGCAATAGTCTACATTTCATTTAACAAACACACTAGCTGATTTTGACATCAATGAGCTGCCAACCAGTTGGGGCAACTCTGTAAGGACTCCAAGGCAGATGTCCCCAAGCTATGTCTGCAAGAGCTTGCTGTTCTTATCATTCACATTTCTTCTTGTAAGAAGATATCCGTACTCATGTGGGTTAAAATATTACTTTATCTAGTAAGGGTAACCTCAGCTAATTAACAAATAGCAATCATCAACTCATCATCCCTATTGTTAAACCAAGGGAGAGCATGGTCTTCTTAATCCACAAGACCAATGTACTATGACGCATGAGAGAAGAAGAAAAATCTGAAAAATGAGGGACCACTCCCATTAAATGGGAGGCCTGAGCAATCATGGGTCTGCTTGTGGGCACTGGGTGCATGGGATGAGTACCTCAGAAAGAAAGGGAAAGGGACTTCAAAGACAAACTTAGTCTACTTAATACTTTCTCTTGTACTGGTTAGAAATGAGAAGTTAATTATTTCTATCAAGGTAGTTTCTAAATCTAGAGCGAGTAAGAGAAAGAGTTATAAGAAAAATTAGTACTTTTTACCTTAATGCTTGTGGAAATGGTACCTTAAGTTGACAATGCAATAGTAGGGCCATAAAGGCATAAGAGAAACTTGAGCTGAATATGTGACTACAATGCAAGCAACTTGAGAAAGAATGTTATCAATGCTGCCAGGGAAGCCTTTCTGCTTGAGGTCAGAAGGATGAAAATCAAGGAAACAAATAAAAATATTTAAATTGGATTCTCAAACCATTCATCTCTGAAAAAATAACATCTAATATTTTCTTTTCTATCAACTGCCAGCCATGTGGATTTTACCAACGCTTTTCATCAAGGGGGACAATTTCCAGTTACCCCATCCTTAGTGGTTACTGTAGCCTCACATAGCTTGATTCTGGCAAAGAGCATAATTCCGTGCCAAAATGAAGTGTATTGGCCTGTTTTGTTCTTTGGGCTGTGGGTAAAAGAAGTGGCAAGGGGAGCCAGTTTTCTAATAATTGAAGTTAAAAGAAGTTGGCCTCAATGAAGTTTTTCATCTCAGGTATTCAGATTGCCCTCCTTCTCTGCCTGCTGGGATGTGCGTACAGATACAATCTTAATGTAGAGTCTGGGTGGCTATAGACCTGAATAGTAACAAAATTGTCAGGGCTGCCTGCACATTTGAAAACAGTATGTCTTCAAAAATTGCACTTGGCAGATGATTGATTGGACACATACCTCTAAGCAACACCAAGCATGATGTTGACATTTTCAGATGTACTCTCACAGTGCCGCCAGAAGAACACATGAACACTCCTCCCTTACTTTCTAAAATATGTCTGCCTATTGCTCTGCTCCATTCCTGTTCACTGATTATTTTCCATTGCTCCCTGGATCCCCTATCAACCAGAACAATGGTTCTCAAACATTAGTGGCATCAGAATGACCTGGAGTGCTTGTTAAGCTACGAATTGCTGGGCCCTACCCCTAGAATTTTTAATTTGGGAAGCCTGTGTGGGGCCAGAGAATTTTCATTTGTAATAAGTTCCCAGTTGATGCTGATGCTAATGAAGACTTTGAAAGCCACCAATCTAGAGTGATGGGTCTAAAACATTAGAATCACCTAGGGAGCTTTCATGAAAATACTGATGCCCAAGTTTACACCAGGCCAATTAAATCAGACTGTTTGAAGATGGAGCCTGTATTAGTTTTCTAGACCTGCTGTAACAAATTACCTCAAACTGAGTGGCTTAAAACAACAGCAATCTCTTCTCTCACAGTTCTGGAGTCTGGAAGTACCAAGTCAGTGTTTGCAGGCCACCATCCCTCAAAGGCTCCTGGGAGGGGGCTGATTGTAGCTCCAGCTGTGGCCAGCAATGTTGGGCCTTCCTTGGTTTGTAATTGTATCACTCTAGTCTCTGCCTCCGCCTTCACATGCACATGGCCTCTGTGTATCTATGTCTGTGCGCCCTCTCCTCTTTTCATATGGATGACAATGACTAGATTTAAGTCTTACCCTAATCCAGTATGACCTTTTCTTAATTTACACCTTAATTATATCTGCAAAGACCCTATTTCTGAGTAAAGTCATGTTCTGAGGTTCTTGGTGGACATGAATTGTGCAGGGGCATTGTGAGGAGACACACTATTCAATCCTGTACGGAACCCTGACTTGACTATAAGATCCCTGAGGGTCAGATCCATGTGTGTCCAACTGCCTTGGAGAGTCTGGAACAGAATGGGATGAAAAAAAATTTCTTGAATGGATGAGCCTGTATACCCTCTACTTCCAATTCACGGTCATCACAACATAACAGATGAAAAACACTCTTCATTTGTCTTAAAAGCTTGTTATAAACTATCTGCAGATTCCAAGGACGTTGAAGTGTTTATCTGTATGACTATTCAACTCTAAATTAAAGACCTTTCCTCAAACAACAAAAGATATTGAAGGTATTTCTTTGTAGAAAGACTTGTATTCTGTTCCTCAGGGCATTTTATAGGGAACATACCTATAAAGAGCCCAGATTACACACTTCTGAGAGCTTTTAATGATAAGAAACAATGTTTTTGAACTTCCCATTATGAACTAGAAATAATATTTTTACATGAAACAAAAATGCTAAATTACTTAACTGCCTCCCTAGAGTTTTAAGTTTTGTACAGTGTAAATGATTGTTGTCCAGGAATTAAGACCACAGGGGTGTCTCTTTAAAATGCCTGCGATATAAAGCAGGAGGCAGGATGCCTGTTGTCTGAACTTCAGTTGCAGAGGTGATTATTCATGGGGTCAGGGTGGGGGTGGACTAACATGCAAGCCACAAGCCCAAGCCAAACGTGATCACATTGGAAGGTGTGCTGTGGATTGTCAGTCAGTTGGAAATCAGAGCGAGAGAGGCTTATTTTGGATGAGGTGGCATCTCAGGATCACAATCAAAATTGTCCAGATGGCTTTATTTTGGATCCGTTATGCCAATATCAGATATGGGGGTGGTTTATGGGGGGTTCTTTGAAGACCACTCTGTGACCCCCTGCAGTGGCAGTGGATACAGTGGGACATAAAACTGAATTCAGGATTAGGAGCCCTGGATTCTGGTCTCAGCTCCAGCACACAGGATCTCTGAGATTACTTGCAGTTTTTAAGAATACTGATGTGGGGTATACAAATGTAATGAACGTCTAAATTCATGTATCTCGCTTTGCATTGCTGCATCTGCTTTACAGAGGTATCTCTTTTTTTCTTTGAAAGAGAGAGGTTTGGTTACTTATTTAGATTGTTAGAAGTATTTTCTCATCAGTGGATTCTGGCTTTGACATCCTTTTTGATAAAAAAAATTCTTCTTATATTAACCAGGAACATGATAATGTTTAGAAGTTATGAAAATATCTAAGTGTTTTTATAACATTTATGATATTTTAAAAATTCTTTCTAACCACACGCTAATAGTTATGATAATTTCCAGTTTTCTTTCTTAACCAGAGGCAGTGGTAGGCTTTTAACATGTCTTACTTCTCCCTTGAACCTCCTTCTCTATCAATGAACTGAGAGGACTGAAATCATCCGGGCATTTCTGAGCAAACGTCAGCTTTCTGAGAACTTGGAAGTTTTCTCACATCTTACTAGTTTATTTAGTCGTAAAGATTCGTTAAGATAAAAACCAAACACAGTCAAGTGTATGTGACAGATGTTTCTGGGATTTGGGCTAGAGGCACAGGCAGGAAGGGAAGCTGTCAGTCAAAGGCAGCCTCATATTTACTGCTGCGTTTTCCTGATTTTTAGACTTTGCGTAAAGAAAGGGGTGCCCTTCCTGCATGAGCGAGGCATATCTTTGCTCTCTGACAGCTGCTGCACCTCTTCTTTGAAGTTATTCTCTGGCATGCAAGATGCACAGTAATATATCTGAAGTCTAATTCTGTCAGGGAAAAAGTTCAAATTGAAGAGTAATTTTTTTTAACTGTAAAGAAAACTAATATTTGTGGAGCACCTACCAAATACAAAAAGAGTGCTACATGTTATTTCTTTTAGTTCTCATCATTGCACCCTTTTACAGACAAGAAAAAGAGGCATACAGCTAGTAAGTGGCAGGTCCTATGTTTGAATTCAGGTGTACAGATTCCACTTGTTTCTTGGAAGCACTTCCTTGGTTTGCCCTCAGTGTTTACACAGTCTTTCTTTATGACATTCATTTTTCTATTTGGAAGTATACATAATATAAACTTAACCATTTTAGCCATTGTTGAGTATACATTTCAGTGGCATTAAGTACTTTCACATTGTTCTGCAACTGTCACCACCATCGTCTCCAGAATGTTTTCATCTTTCCAAACTGAATTCTGTACCCATTAAACAATAACTCTCCATTCCCCTCTCCCTTCAACCCCTGATAAACTCCATCTACTTCCTGTCTCTAGGCATTTGACTATTACAGGTACCACATACAAGTGGAATCATATAATATTTGTCCTTTTGTATCTGGCTTATTTTACTTGATATAATGCCCTCAAGCTTCATCCATGTTTTAGCATGTATCAGGGCTTCATTCCTTTCTTTTATTTTGAGACAGGGTCTCACTCTGTTGCCCAGGCTGGAGTGCAGTGGCGTGTTCACAGCTCACTGGAGCCTTGACCTCCCAGGCCCAAGTGATCATCCTGTCTCAGCCTTCTGAGCGGCTGGGACTACAAGTGTGTGCCACCATGCCCGACTAATTTTTTGTATTTTTTTTTTTTTTTTTTTTTTTTTTGTAGAGACAAGGTTTCACCATGTTGGCCAGGCTGGTCTTGAACTTCTGGGCTCAAGCGATCCACCAGCCTTGGCCTCCCAAAGTACTAGGATTACAGGTGTGAGCTACTATGCCTGGTCCATTCCATTTTAAGGGTGAATAATATTCATGTGTGTGTGTGTGTGTGTGTGTGTGTGTGTTTGTGTACACCCCATTTTGTTCATTCCTTCATCCTTCAATGGACATTTTGGTTGTTTCCATCTTTTGCTACTGTGAATCATGCTGCTCTGTGAACATGGATGTACAAATATCTGTTCAAATCCCTACTTTCAATTATTTCTGGTGTATATTCAAAAGTAGGAATGCTAGAAGATTAGAATGTTTTGTTTGTTTTGAGATGGAGTCTCACTCTGCCACCCAGGCTGGAGTGTGGAGTGCAGTAACGCAATCTCGGCTCACTGCAACCTCTGCCTCCTGGGTTCAAGTGATTGTCGTGCCTTAGCCTCCCAAGTAGTTGGGTTATAGCCACATACCCGGCTAATTTTTGTATTTTTAGTAGAGACAGGGTTTCACTATGTTGGCCCCACTGGTCTCGAACTCCTGACTTTAAGTAATCTGCCCACCTTGGCCTGGGATTATAGGCGTGAGCCACCACGCCTGGCCTAGAATGTTTTAAAAATATATATAAAAATGTTAATTGAAGCTACCATAATCTCAAATACATTTTACAATTTTTCGAAAATGCATTTCCTATCCAAGTTACCAACTTTCTCATTTCTCGGTGATACCAGCGTTCTTCCAGCTTTCCAAGCTTGAGATCAAGATGTCACCTTGGACAATTTACCAGTGCCCTTCTCCTATAGTCTGCCATACACCATTGTTTATTTCTTCAAAGTATCCTCAAGATTGGGTTATTTTCATTAATTCTGCCATAACCTCAGCCCAAGTCTGATCACTGTGGATCACTCCAACAGCTGCTTGATACAGCTGCATGCTTCCAGACTGTTTCCTACCAAACCTCCAATATCATTGTTGGAGTGATTTTCCTAAACAGTTCCTTCATCATGTCACTCCCCACTCAAGAATCTACAGTGGCATTAAGTTCAAGGTAGTAAATGAATTGATTCCCTCTCATCTGTGCAACACTATTTACCTGTCTTCCTTGCCTTCTTCTCTACTCCAAGGGCTCTCTTCAATGTTAGTCTTATAAACCAAGCTATTTCCCCAATCTATGCCATTGCTTTCTACTCACCTAATCTCACAAAACCATTTCCTATTGCTCTTCAAAACATATAGGTTCTCCATTTATTTCCTACATTTTTTAGTTTTGCTCCCCACAACCACACGCTAAACTTCTTGAGTGTAGGATCTTTGTCCTGTACTTTTTGTGAGAATCCTAAGATTCTGGACAGATATGTGCTTGCTGGCTCATGAAATAAGACAGAGTAACAGGAAGACACAAATTGCAAAAGGTGGAGACAGAGTTATCAGAGCCCTTAGGAAGAAACTGCTTTACACCTAGGAAGAAATCTCTCGTAGTGGTTGTCAAATACCAGAATAGAAAGAGTTCAGCTTAAATAGTTCCTTATGCATCTTTTGCATTGTGGTGTACAAACTCGGGCCAGTGAATTTTCAAGGCAAAATGCTACCCAGGTGAGTCTGTTTCTTATTTTAAATAATTCTCAAGATATGTGAAATACTTAATAAGTGTTCCTGCTCTTCTCCTAAGCATTTTGATTACATGCAAACCCTAGAAACACAGCATTCTAAGAAATTTGAAATGTTCTTACTACTGTAAAGTTTGGGAGCTTTTCTCAAAGTAGCTTTTTGGTCCAGTTAATAAAGAGATTTTTTTTTTCCTTGAGAAGGGCTTAGGAGGAACAGTTTCACACCTTATAGTAATTTCATAAATGCATAATTTGACACTAAGTTGGGAATACAAATCATTTTTCTGTAAGCAGACATGACATCCAGAAAGTTAACCCCAGAATCTGGCATGCCCTCCTCTTAGATTAGGACATGGGTGTTAGAATCACAACATTAACCAATTCAAGTTTAAGAACAGAATATGTCACAGAAGGTCAGATAAGTGAGAGCTACAAAAACTCAGAGAGATAATGAGAGAGAAGGGGGTGGAGAGAGAGCAAAAGGGAAAGAGAGAGGGTGGGAAAATAGCATTGGAAGAATATTTTAATGATATTTCAGGCCATAGAAATATTGTGAAATTTTATGAATATGTCACAGAAGTTCAGATAAGTGAGAGCTACAAAAACTCAGAGAGATAATGAGAGAGAAGGGGGTGAAGAGAGAGCAAGAGGGAAAGAGAGAGGGTGGGAGAATAGCATTGGAAGATTATTCTAATGATATTTCAGGCCATAGAAATATTGTGAAATTTTATGAATATGTCACAGAAGTTCAGATAAGTGAGAGCTACAAAAACTCAGAGAGATAATGAGAGAGAAGGGGGTGAAGAGAGAGCAAGAGGGAAAGAGAGAGGGTGGGAGAATAGCATTGGAAGATTATTCTAATGATATTTCAGGCCATAGAAATATTGTGAAATATAAGATTAATTAAAGACAACCAGAATTTTTTGGTTATGGATAATGAATAAATAAAATCATGCAGCCAAATTAGCTCATTTCCATCTCCTATTTATAGACATTGTATTTAGATAGACTTTTTCACAAATAAATACCAAATTTGGAGCTAACATGACTGAAGGCATCTCTACTTTCTGTTCTCTTCTCTTTCACTGCTCTTAGGTGAGTCAAATAAGCTCTCAGGGCCTTTACTTTAAACTGATACTCTTCTAATTCCTGTTAATGCAATCTGTAGGAGAGACATTAACAATGTATTTTGAGGACTCCTGATAGTAAAGTGCTGTTCTAGCCACTACTGCAGTTATGAAAGTTAAAATTTAAAAATATCCACCATTGTACCAATATTTAATTAACAATACTCTATCACTGTCAGCACCAGAGGGCCTTGAATAAACTATTGTTCTGGCTTGGTTGACAGACAGCTTGTCAGGAAATGATCAGTATTGGCCATGATTTAGGGCTAATTTCATGGATGTTTTCCAGTTTCCGCGATCTTCCTTTCCCCTCTTCCAAACAAAAGTGCTTCTGAAAATTTCTGTTTAACATCTTTCACTTTGAATAAAGAAAACACAAAACATACCCCTCGTGGCTGGTATTGGTGAAATTACTTCTCTGGAGAGACCAGCAGATGAAGGTCTTGTTTGAGAGGCACCAGGCAGAGGTTTCATTCTGTATCAGAGACCACACTCAGACCTGCAACCTGAGATCTATCTCTCCCCCTCCCTTCACCTACCTACACACATACACCACCTAAATGAACACAGATGGCTGGCACCCAGAGTAGGCATCTAGGAAAACAGCCGCAGGCCTCTCTGTTTGCTGTCATTTCATTGTACAAACAGACAGCCTTCGAGATGCTGGTGTTGTTTCTTAATCTGAGATCATTCTTGTTTGGAAGTTTACCCACTTCCTGTTGAGAAATATAGCAAAAGCATCAGAATACCCAGAGCTCGATTTGACTAAAACCAAACATTCATTTTAACTCGTTAGATAGTTAAAATCATCGTCATAGTACACTCAAGGTATACTAACTCATGTAGAGGATTATATTTAATAAAAGCCACATATTGATATAATCCATATCAGTTCCTACCTGGCAATACATGTTCTTCCTTCAGAGCTGCATAGCATCATCTGATGTATTTGTTTCTCTGTGTGAAATAAATTAATTATTCAAATGTAATATAAAAGAGTGTAAAGCCAAACTTCACAAATGCTGAAAAATAATCTAAATCTTTATACTGCCCCCCCCAACAAATGGAACATATGTTTTCTCCTATTTATTTCTGTATAAAATATGTAAACAATTACCTGGGTTTGGAGGACATAATTATGAAGAGGTTGATATCTAAAAGGTTATTACTGATTTATAGAACTCTCTAGTTTAATAGAAGACATATTTAGGATAAGAAAAAAAATACTGCTTTCTCCAGGAACAATAAATGTCTCAAAGGGGAAACGTAAGATTTAAGAGTAATTTTTATTAGACATATATACTACAGTTTGTGAATCTAGCAGGTGTTTCTCATTTGAATGATTTCTACATAATAAAAATTTTGTAGAGCTATCTCACACTTTGTAGTATATTTTATATGTCTCAAAATGCAGTGATTAAATTTCATTTCAAGGGCATTTTTTTAAAGTCTGAATTCCTCAATTTCCCTTCATGGGTTTATAATTCTCAGCCTGAAGATTAAATACCATATTAACAAGTATAAAATATTTATTTAAGCAAGAAATTGAGCTTAATTCTCCCTGGCATGTGTGCGTATTCTTCCTGGGTCTCCTATACACACACACATGCGCACGAGCACGTATACACACACACACACACACACACACTCTGTCATACACACACTTTCTGCAAATTCATCTAATGTTGAACAATGTAATAATGCTTAATATTAGTATGATTCTGCATAATAAAAATTAAACCTTGCACTTGGGAGGATCTTAATACTTTAACTTCATAGGTTGTTAAATTACAGTTGCAATGTATTTATGCAAGAGTAATCTAATTTTCAATATTCAGAAGATTGCATGGCTCAGGAAAAAAACAAAAAAAATCAAATTTTTTTCTTTTAGGGAAAATTTTAATTTACCAAGTCATTCACAAAAGCCTTAATCATACCTTAAGCAGGATTTTAAATTATACAAAACTTCCTAACTTGTGGCTTTTCATAAAGATTGGCCCAGTGTCAAGAATTCAAAAACCAAATATTTTCAGAAGTGGAAAAACAAGAAGAAAAATAAAATGGTACATGCTTAAATTGATACATGTATTTAATAACATCCTATAACCGCATACATAAACCTGTATAGTCTCTAATGTATCACATTTGTTACTCCTTTTAATCTGACTTACAGCTGAGGACTGCTTTATAACTAAGGCTGGCTTTCAGATATAATAATAGCCAAAGACTTCAACTTCTGGCTAAGATGGAGTAACGTGGACTGGATTTATCCTCCCACCCTGAGCAACTGGAAAACTGGACAAAAAATGTGAAACAGCAATTTTTAGACATTGGACAGTAGAGAGCACAGGACTCTCATCCCTGAGAGAAGAGAAGCAAACAAGGTGAGTCCTGTGATTGCACCAGTTTAATGACCAAAGTATTTCCAGACTGGGAAATGACAAAGATAAGGGAACTAACAGATGACGGAACTAACAGATGAGGACTTCAAACACTTATTATATTCTCTATGTGCTAAAAATTTTAGAGAAAACACAAGCCTGATGAAGAGAGAAATAGAAAATATAAAAAGGATCCAAATAGAACTTTTAGAGATGAAAAATACAACATCTGTAATGAAGAGTAATAATTGCTAAAATTTAATGAATTTTAAACGTGGCAAGGTGCCAGGCCCTGCGCTGAGTGTTTTACATGCAACATCTCATTTAACTACAGCCTTTCTCCTATAAAGCAGGTGTTACAGATGAGGATGCCAAGGATTAGAAAAGACAAATAATTGTACATTGTAGAGCTGAAACTTGAAACCACATGGCCCGCCTTCTAGGCTCATGCTTTTAAGCAACATTCCTATTGTTTATAGCAATGTTTGCAATAAAATATAATTTAGTCTAAAGAATGAACCTTATCTACAGATGTTTATTGAAATTCGTAGAGAATCTCACTAAAAATTACACGTCGTTTTGTGTATGTGTGTGTGCATGTGCACGTGTGTCTGTGTAAGTGTGCACACACACGCATGTGTGCATGATGTTGGTATAGATTTGCTAGAGATCAGATAGGTTTTTCTGAGAGTCTTATAAGGTTTGAGATGGAGAATGATTGAACTTATTTCTATTCTGCTGTTTTCTCAGGAAGATACGACAGAGATGAATTGAGGGAAACTTGCAACTTAATGGTAGAACAATACACCATAAGATTGTTCAGAGCTTTTTTCTTGCTGTTAACGTATTCTGCAACTGATACTTCAAGTGTGCCAATAATAATAAGAAGAATATAATATTAGCTAAAGTTTGTCAAATGATTGTTGTGTGTCCTGCTCTTCTAACATACATGTGTTACCACATTTAATTCTTTGAGGTAGCTTCTATTCTTATTTATAGCGTCGAGGAGCAGGGAGATGTTACCTGACTTGTCCAAGTAACCCTGTAACCTTGAGAAGGTTACACAAAGGTCATACAAAGTATTTCTTGTAGAGAATCATTCTTGAAAATGAGTTTAATAATAGTTTCTGTCCCATTATAACTTTTCTGTACAAGACATTTATTTTAATAGGTTTTCTATAAAATCATTTTATATAAAGATTATTTAATAGACTAGCTTTAACTATAATAGACACTATCCAACTGATAAAGAATGAAGCACATAGATTTTTCAAAAACCAAAATGTCTTAATACTCTGGTGTGAATACATCAATGAAGTAATCATATTTGTTCTCAAGAGTACCTTAACTTAAATAATGGGTTTATCCTGAGATTAAAATATTTCAGCTTCACAATTTTTGAAGTCCATAGTTATGTCAAGAAATTTCTGTTCCTGAATAATGCCTACATAACTAATTCAGCCTAATGTCCTTATACTAAGACTATTAGGCAACAACAGTAATTTGCCACTTTTTCATTCTCTGCAAGTAGGATAGAAAGTCCACTTGAGTGACCATTTCAGGTCACAGAATAAGTCATTAATAAAATTGAGACTGAGACTCTCATAAGTAGATTCTTGCCGTAATACTCCATCCCTTTATAAGAGCTACTTTTCACTCACAGAAAGTGAGTAGCCCTGTGCCGGGTGGCAGTTGGCCGAATGTGACTCACAGCGGGCAGGAGGGAACTGCATGAGGGTTCCTTATGTGTCTTGAACAAAGCGAGTCAATTTTATTTCAACGAGCATTTACTAAATGTGATGCTGTGCACATTCTAAGTTAAAGATGGAACTACTAAGTCCTGATGCTATCCTCATTGTCTAAGCCAGGCATGTACTTAACAAATAAACAAGTCAGTTGTGCCTATTTTTGTTCCAACTCCACCACAGAAAATCAGTCACATGAGTAGTCACTAGGCATAGAGTGGAAAAACAAACATTTGATCGGATTGTGGCAGTCACTTGTAGGCTAGATGCATTGCTGTTGAGTATATCAGGAAACAATTCCTACAATTTTGATTTCATGGGCTAGAAAAACGTTTTTTGTTTTGTTTTAAATTGGAGACCAACATAGATCAAGTAGAATAAAAATCAAAGAACAAAACCACCATCAAATATCACCATCAACACATATTTTGTTTAACATCAAATAATTAGTAAGGGTATAATTTTTTGACCTTATCAGAATAAAGGATAGTTACTTAAATTGAATAGATTTAGTTTTGTGAAAGAAAATTCATTTAATTTTCCCTGTTCTTCTCATTTTTACATGAACCATGAAAAACCTTGTCAGTCTGGCACCCCTTTGCAAATAGGAGTTTAAGAACCCTTTCCATAGATACATTTTAGTCTCCATGATACAAACAACACTGGACTAAAAAGAGAGAGGTGAAGCCACACACCCAGGGCAGTCTTGAGAATACAGTGTCAGCAAAGGGGACACTGGCCTGCTGATCAGGCCTTAGTCTTTCTTGGTGGCCGCATCGAAGGCAGGTGGCTCTCTGGGCCAAGTGGGTCCTCTTTGGATATGAAGAACAGCAACCTGTGAAAATGCTGTGATTTCACTACTTACTACCTGTGTTTTTTTATGAGTTCAAACGTTAAGGAAATATGTCTCACGAATGTAACTACCAAATAATCAAGTCTATATGAACTTCACTCAGGCCAGTCGTCATACATTTTTTGGATCACAAACTACTTTGAGAATCAGATGAAAGCTATGAACTTTCCTCCCAGAAAACTGCACATATGTGTCCACCTAAGAATATTTTGTGCATATTCCAGGGGGACCTCTGAACTCCGTAAATGGATTCCAGTTTAGAGATCTCAGCTTTAATGCATGAAGGGATTTGAGGTCTTCACCACTGCTATTCTAACTTATCTGTGCTTCCTTATACTGCTTTAGTTTCTACTTAATTCTCAAAAAGCACTTCATGATTATCTTTGCTGCAGCTTCTTCTCGTATCCTGTAGCACATGTTCCTGGAGAGGAGGTTAGATTTTCATCTTGGCTCCTGGATTTCACTCCTTCCAGGTCCCTGCCAGGCCTGGACTACATTTGGCTGTGGTCCTGAAAACCTTTCTAGCTCTTACCAACTTTCCTTCAAAATCTGGATCTTGTTCTTACTCCTTTTGCCACAGATTTATACCTAGCTACAACTGGATTTTGTGAAAAAAGTCTGCCTCTTATTATGAAATCCCAAAGAACCAAGATGTTACTGCCTAAAGACTATTGTGGTGCTCCTGCCATGAGATCAGACTTCTTCAATATCGTGACAAGTTGGAATCAGACCTAAGGTCACTGTTAACCCTCTGCACGTTCTAAGTAATGGCCAAGATTCTCAGTTAGTGGGTAGAGCTCATCTGTCCCCTCTAGTCCTGGTTTACTCTTTTCTCCATCCTGCCTTGCCACAGAAGTCTCAGTAGGTCTGAAAGCTACGATGACATCCAGAGTTGATGTTAAGTCCACTTCTCTATATGGAAATAAATGGTCAAGGCAGGTTTTAAAATGTTTTCTCACTGACCTTTAGTAATATTAACTCCTACTTAGCAGGGAGTGGATCTGAGCAACATATAATTGGCTAGCCTTCTTCAACTCTCTGATTTAGGGCATCTTAGTAGTATATAGACCTTTCACACACACACAAAAAAACCCAATCTTTTTTGATTAATCATTAACTTGAGGCTAATGAAGATTGTTCCACAAAGTTATTGAATTCAATGATGATAAGTACATGCCTTAATGTTAGGAAAGACTAAAAACCATCCAAATGTGGTGGACTTCAACCTGTCATTGAGCACACTGAACTATGTTAACTAAAATTTATTGGATGTTTAGTAAGTACATAATAGCTCAGTAAACATGTTAGTATTATCATTATTATGTGTGCAAAACATACTAAGTGCTTTATGTGAATTATTATTATTTTTTAATAATTTCAACTTTTACTTTAGATTCAGGTGGTACTTGTGCAGGTTTGCATAATGCCGATGTTTGGGGTACAATTAATCCCATCACCCAGGTACTGAATGTAGTACCCAATAGTTAGTTTTTCAACCCTGACCATCCCCCTCCCTCCCACTTCTAGTAGTCCAAAGTGTCTGTTGTTATAACCCATCTTTATATCCATGAGTACCCAATGTTTAGGTCCCACTTACAAGTGAGAACATGTGGAATTTTGTTTTCTGTTCCTGTGTCAATTTACTTAGGATAATGGCCTCCAACTGCATTCATGTTGCTGCAAAGGACAAAATTTCATTCTTTTTAATGGCTGCAGAGTATTCCCATGATGTACATGTGCCATATTTTCTTTATCCAGTCCTATGTGGACTATTTTATTTAATTTTCAGAAATGCTCTCTGAGGCAAGTACTATTATCTCCAGTTTAAAGTAAGCTTAGAGAGGTTAACCTGCTTAGGATCATTAGTAGAGCCATAAATCAAATCCTGATTCTGGGGCCTAGGCTCTATACCACTGTAGTATATGGCATCTTTATCACACTGAAAATTTTCTTTGTAAGATCCTCTCAAAGTAATGTAGATCTTTAAACAAGGCCTTTGTTCATTTGCTGTGGATAGGTAGTGGCAGTCTGAAACACTGGTAAAGACTGCCGATCCTGGTGTGAGTCAGACTAGGTTTGATTCCAGGCTGTACCACTTACCAGTTATAAGACTTACAGCATATAAATTTAATTCTCTGTGCCTCAGTTTTCTATTTGTAAAAATGGGTAATGACACCTATCTCACTAACTTGTGAGAATTAACACATGTAAAATGTTTATAATACTCCCCAATTTACAGTAAATGTTCAAAAACACAAGCTACTATTATTTGGGTTATGTCAAAATAGCCTAATACATTCTCCATTCCTTTATTTTCTGATGAAAGAGTAAATTCCAGAATAGAAAAATTTCTCTAGCCAACGATTTCATGCTCAAATTCACTGATACGCTGCAGTAATTCATTCAACACATGTTTGAGTTCCTTCTACATGTAAGGCATTGTGCTTGGCACTGGCCATCTTGTTCTGAGGTAGGGGCCAAATGAATGTGGACAAGTTATGCAACTTCACCATAAGAGGCATTCTATAATAGGTGATTAATTCTGTTTCAGTCTGAGAAATGGCTTGGATCTCACAGTTTCTCTAGGGGTCTCTCCCTTTATCAGGCCAATCTAAGACCCAGCAGTGCTGATTCCCTTAAATAATGATTGGCAAGGTCTTCTAACACCCAAGCATTGATCAAATGCTGAATAAAATAACCCTGGATGGTCAGCAACAGAATACACTGGTCATTATTTCTCTACTAGAAGCATAAGCTTATCTTTAGACATGCAGGCTCTCCAAAATGGCTATGATCAGCTCGGTTGTTAAAAACATGCCTATTTAGTGAGTTGTTAAACTCTTTGATCCCCATTATAACCTCCAAGGACCTATCAATCTATATGCTGTTCTGTTTTATAGTTATTATTATTCTTGAGCAATGAGCATTTGGCATCTGAGAGCTCTGGAACTCTGTCTTTTTGAATATAATAGCACAGACTTGAAAGTAAAAACCTGCTTGCTATTCTGAAAGCCTCTTCTTGCTGGTTGCCCAAGTCACCACTACAACTTTTTTCTCAGCAGGCAAAAAGCCCTGATTACCTTTTGTAGGAGAAAAAGGATTAGTCTAGGAAAACTCACCACTTTTGTTTTCATCTCGGAGACTGCATATCGTGAATTGCGTAAGTCACTGAGACGAATAAATCATTGAGAGAAGCTAATCAATGTCCCTGGAAGTTTATATTTCATCTTCTCTTAGATATCTGGTGTGCTGAAATAACACAGGGTTTCCTACACCTTAGCCTCATTTATTTTCAGCATCAGAAGGACCCTTAATGACAGGGCCTTTATGAAGCATTAGAAAATTCCAGGGCCAATAGATATTCTGAACAGAAAGTGCTGACTTGAAAATTCCCTAAACTGAGGATTGCTGCCGTTACAGCTGCATGAGCTCTGACATTAGTTGTTGGTAAAGTGCATGGGGTCAGGGTTCACCATGACCTTTTCTTCAGCTAGAAGAGTAAGGGATGACTGACCACAGATACAACCCAGATACTGTGGTACTGCCCAAGTATCCAGTTCACAGAGATCCTGCAGTGCTCACAGCTGCTCACTTCCTATTGGGTTGGCCATGGAACCCATGGGTATAAATCCTTTCTGTTTTCATTTCCCTGCTGCAGGTAGTAGTTCTTAAAAGTTCAGGAGGAAAGGGTTCCCTTTAAGGGTCTGATGAAGCTTTGCACTTTCTTTTTAGAAATATGCGCATATGGAGAATATCTTGAGTACAACTTCAGGGAATTTGAAGACTTTCTGAAGTCCATCTCAGCACCCCGTGGGGTCCAAACCTCACAGGTATGTTGTTTGAACAAGTACAGTTTCTGGAATTTATTTTTATGGTTTTCACATCATATCCTTTCCTAAAGTGACCCCTTTTCTTACAGAATCTGGAACTCTTGTCTTAGAAAAACTACAAGCAGAGACTCCTAAGCAAAGCTTGGTGTCTAAATTCCTCTTCCCCACTTTATTTTTCCCCAGTTAGGTTTTTTCAAAAACTTTTTAATATGGAAAATTTCAAACATATAAAATAGTATAACAAATCCCCATGAGCTCATGAACTGATTCAACAATTACCAGCTTATGGCCAATTTGATTTCATTTACATCTATACCTCTCCTCATATTATTTCATCAGTTAGTTACTGAAGTATGACATACGTTCTTTCCTTATTATCTTGAATCAAAACCTATATACTAATTCATTTATAAATACCTTATTTACATAAGAAATCATGCAAATTATAAGAAAAGCTACAGTACCATTTTCAAACCTAAAAACATCGAGCAATTCCTCATATCATCATACAGTGTTCATATTTCCAATGATCTTATAAATGTTATTAAAGTGTTTTAATGGTTCATTTGATTATATCAGAATTCAAGTAAAATTTCCATGTTATGATTTCTTGGTATGTTTCTGAAGTCACTTTTAATCTATGAATTCTCTCTCCTTTCTTTCTGCTTGTAATTTACTTGTTGAAGACACAAGGTTGTTTTTCCTATAGAATCTCCTTGAGTTGGGGTTTTGCTGGTTGCATCCCCATGGTGTAGCTTAGTATATTTCTTGCATATGCTTTTCTTCTGACTGTATTTCCCATAAATTATTAGCTGGATCTAGCTTTCTTGGATTTAAGTTTGATTTGTTTGTTGAGGCTATTTCATCAAAGTGGTGGTTTGTATTTCTATCAGGAGTTATCTATCTATTTATTTATTTATTTATTTTGAGACAGAGTCTCACTCTGTCCCCCAGGCTGGAGTGCAGTGGTGCCATCTCAGCTCACTGCAACCTCGCCTCCCAGGTTGAAGAGATTCTTCTGCCTCAGCCTCCCAAGTAGCTGGGATTACAGATGCACACCACCACGCCCAGCTAATTTTTTTGTATTTTTATTAGAGACAGGGTTTCACCATGTTGGCCAGGCTAATCTTGAATTCCTGACCTCAGGTGATCCACCCACCTCAGCCTCCCAGAGTTTTGGGACTACAGGTGTGAGCCACTGTGCCTGGCCTTATAAGGAGTTATCTCTAATTGTGAGATGTTAGCAGCTATTGTTAATCCATTAGTTCATGAAAGGTTGCAAAATAGTACTATTATAATTCTATCATCTCTTCTTTATTTATTAGCTATAACACTTACTCAAAGAGCTATTTTCTTGCATTTCCTATTTTGTTGCTATTTTAGTCTGTTTTGGCTGCTATAACAAAATACCATATACTGGGTGGATTATAAACAACAGAAATTGATTTCTCACATTTCTGGTGGCTGGGAAGTCCAAGACGAGAGTATCAGAAAATTCAATGTTTGGCGAGGGTCCACATAGTAGAAAAGGAGAGGAGTCTTTCTGTGGTCTCTTATAAGGGCACTAATCCAAACTCTTGAGGGTGGAGGCTTCTTAACCTAACCACCTCGCAAAACCCTCACCTCTTAACACCATCACCTTGGGAATTAGGATTTCAACCTGTGAATTCTAGGGGGACACAAACATTGAGACCATAGCAGTTACCCATTGGCATATAATATATAGGGAACCTGGGATAAATACTTGATTCTTTCTGTTTGTTTACCTATTTTCAAAATTATGAGTTGTCAATGTCTTGCATTCTCCAAAGGTGACCATGGATTTAAATGTATTTGATCAGTTTTAATCCATTGCAGTTTTTATCTGAATTGACGCACTACTTAATCTATTTCTGGTCAGTTGGAGCCTCTTTATTTTGGTTCCTGAGTCCTTTTGAAATGACCATAGAAGTCTTTTGATAGTTTACTTGATATCTGTAGGACAAGATGTTCCCAGATCATCTTGTATATTTCTTGTCACAGAATCAGCCACTTCTCCGAAGACCTCTGGTTCTTTTCAGAGGGAAATTTTATATGGACACATTAATCTTACTTCTGGATGTGTTCATTGATTGAGCCAAGTCTGGATATGGGCTTTTAACATTCTAATAAATTAATTGGTAAGAATATGTTTGGAGTACTGTTTAAATGATAAGACACACCTATCTTTTCTGTGATGTAATTAAAATATTATGGCCTTTTCTTGGTTATTATATATGTCAAATTTTATATGATCATTATATTCTAGACTTACTGTTAGAAAACTTCAAAATGTCACCTAAGGAAACTCCAAAATTTAAATGTCAGAGGATGGTCCAGTCCTATAAGTTATTACAAATGCTATTATCAGGTTATGGATCCCACTTATTAAATTTATTTAATATACTTACAACATCTAGTGATGCTGTTGAGAACTGCATCTTCAACAATTCCACAAGGTCAAACAGAGCCTACCCATTTTGGGATCTGCAATTAGATAGAAGCAATGACAAGGGAATTAGGAACTTGCACATATAATTGCAAGTATTGAGAAGTGGTACAAATATGTGATAAAAATTCAAGAACAATGTTGAGTACAAAGGTCACATTTAAGAAAGATATATATGGAATAAATCAATACTTATAAATTTTAAAATACTCAACAGTATTGTATATTAGTTCAGGATGCACACAGATGCAATTAAAACTTAGAATATGAACAGGAAAGATGCACAACTTTGGACTGCTGGTTACCTCTTAGGAAAGAGATAGGAAGAGAAAGAAATGAGATCAGGGAATGGTGCCAAAAGGACTTAATTACACCTGTAATACTTTATCTCTTTATTAAAAAAAATTAGAGGAAAAGACAACAGAAAAAGTATGAAAGCCTCTGAATATATGAAATACAGGAAGCAGTTTGACTTATTAACCTATGTGGTATGTGGCAAAGCAGTAATATTAAGCTTTCAGCCACCTGCCTGCTCCATTTTTTAAGGTAAAGAATATATATAATGTTTTCAAATGTGTGTGTATGTATATATCCATATAGTTGAGAATTACTAAACTGCCTGAGTTTTGCGGCAGTATTCAGGTCAAGGAAACATGGGTCTTTATTTTTGCCAATAATATTTTATTGCTGTAAAAATTACTAAATGCTAACTCTATCCTGAATCACTCAGCATATAACTACTGCAACACAAAAGGAACGAAAAGCACAACCCCAAACAGCACATTCTGGCCAACATAACCAGTCTCCAACCTTCTCCTTTCAGCCTCTTTGCCTACATGACCTAGGAAAAAATTAAGATTTACCCAGGCAAGATGACCATTCTTAGTCCCTTTCAGCCCAGTGCTGGACCTCTTCAGTGATGCTCTTTCTAAGGGGGAAGAATGCTGTGGATGATGGCTACTATCCCTAGTCTTCTGGCACTTTTAATTGTGGATTTACCTTCTTCATTCCCTATTATCCTCTTCCTCCTGGTGAGGTTAGATGAGGCAGAAGAGTGTCCCCATGGATGTGAAATCAACCTGGGCATCTCTTTGATGAAAGTGGGGATGACAGCAACCCAGAAATGCAAAGATCTCTGATTCTCAAGGAAATCACAAGTTTCCTTGAGAGGGCGTCTCAGAATTGTCAACAGAAAATTCTGCTGACTACCTACTTGATAGGATGGGATGCATTGAGAGCAGTTTTCAGTTCACCCAGAATCCAATCCCACAGATCCCTGGGACTCTTCCAGTTTTCCATTCTGTTTCCTAGTTTGCTTTTTGTGTTCTCTATCACCCTTCGCATATTTCTCCCCTTGCCTTAGTGTATTTTAGAGGAATATATTATATTGGGAATATCTTATATGAAACTCAAGCTGGTGTAGGTATGAAAAAGAGGGTAGTGTAGAAATGGGGTGAGTCTCTACAATCAGAAAATCAATGAAATAAAAGCAGATAGGAAAAAGAACAAGATTAGGAACAAGAGAATGAGAGCTGCTTAGAAATGGAAGAGTGGAGATTCAGGGGGAATCAATATTCTCTGTAAGTTTTTGAAAAATAATAAAATGTATTTATGTATTGCTCATATGATACAAATTTAGTACAATTTATTAAGAAATAGGGAAGATGAGGAAAGATAAGAGAAATAGAGGGAAAGAAGAGAAGCAATGATATCATAACAATGTAATAAAACACTTCTGGTGGCAGGGCAGGGCAGGAAGCAGTTTGGGGTCAACGAGAACAGTGCAATTACAAAATACTCCACTCATGTATACATGGCCTAAGTGATGAAGCCAAGAATAAAACCCAGATTTCCCAATTCCTGGCCCTGGGCCTTATGTATTAAATCATGTTGCCTCTGCTGTCAGATAATCATCTTGCATCTGGAACATAAATACAGCCAATTCAAATATGCATCTTGATCTTATCATGTGGTTAGCAATCCACACTGTTATTACTGTCAATAGGACTGCATCCCATTAATACCATGTTCACTTTTTGGCTACAGAGCTAGTGGCATAAGGTGGATAAATACAATATAGAATGTGGTCAAAGAAAATCACCCTCATTCCAAATACTACAAGATATAAGAGGAAGCTCCCAGGTAGAGCTACTGTGGAGAATCTTCAGGAAGCCACATGGAAAATCTGGGAAAATTTATTTTAAATAAAGATGTATTCTGTAATACGTCTTTACTTGATAACTCTAAATCAGGTGGGATTTGAAAAAGTGTAGTGATTTGATTATGAATCTATTTTTAAATTAAATGACAATTTTTACTACAAGAAACACAACTTTTTTTTTTTTTTTGACAGTCTTGTTCTGTCACCCAGGCTGGAGTGCAGTGGCACAATCTCAGCTCACTGCAACTTCCATCTCCCAGGTTCAAGTGATTCTCGTGCCTCAGCCTCCCAAGTAGCTGGGATTACAGGCATGCACCACCACGTCCAGCTAATTTTTTTTTTTTTTTTTTTTTTGGTATTTTTCAGTAGAGACAGGGTTTCTCCAGGTTCACCAGGCTGATCTTAAACTCCTGGCCTCAAGTGATCCACCTGCCTTGGCCTCTCAAAGTGCTGGGATTACAGGAGTGAGCCACCCCTCCCAATCAAGAGACGCAATCTTTATTATCATCTGTGCTCAGGTAAAATTGCCAAGATCCCCATTTACATCGCTTAGATTTTATTTTCACATTAATAAGCATTAGTTGTTACAAAGACTGAAGGACTGATTATCAGAATTAGTTATTTGATGTATGATGAGTTATCAGCATCAATGTGGATTTTGACACTGAATCAATGGAAGAACAAACTCTACAGCTTGTGCTTCTCCAAATGCATTGACCTCATGTTCAAAATGCTAGATTGTCTCAACAACCTAAACTACAATTTGGACATCCATGTTCATAGCAGCATTATTCACAGTAGCCAAAAGGTAGAAGCAACCCAAGTATCCAAGAATGGATAAGTGGATAAACAAAATCTGACATATACATACAATGGAATATTATTCAGCCTTAAAACGGAAGAAAATTTTGGGGCATGCTACAACATGGATGGACCTTGACAACGTTATGCTAGGTGAAATAAGTCATACGCAAAAGGACAAATATTGTATGATTCCATTTAAATGAGGTATCTAGAATCCAAGGCAAATTCATAGAGACAGAAAGTAGGATGGTGGTAGCCAGGGATTGAGGGAGGGGAGGAACAAGAAATTCATGTTTAATAAGTACATACTTTCAGCTGGAATAGATGAAAATGTTCTGGGGACGGATGGTGGTGATGGTTTCACAAAAATGTGATATACTTAATACTGCTGAACTATATATTTTAAAAATGGTTAAAGTGATACATTTTTTCTTACATATAAATTACCATAATAAAAATCACCAAACTACATTTTATCAATCACTTTAAATTCAAATCTATTGTATACGCCCTTGGGTTTCCACAGGAAATCTGATTTAGTTATTTCTGATATTGATATTCACATTACAATAGTTTCTTGATAGGTGCACCACCTTTGAAGTACAGTCATGTATCACTTAACAATGGGGATATGTTCTGAGAAATGCAATGTGTGTGATTTTGTCGTTGTGCAAACATCATAGTGTACTTACACAAACCTAGATGGAATAACCTACTACACATCTAGGCTATATGATTAACTTATTGCTCTTAGGCTACAAACCTGTACAGCATGTTACTATACCAAACACTATAGGCAATTGTAACACAGTGGTTATATATTTGTGTATCTAAACATATCTAAATATAGAAAAGGTACAGTCAAAAGACAGTATTATAATCTTATGGGACCACTATCATATATGTGGTTCATCACTGACCAAAGCATGGTTATGTAACACATGACTGTACTTGCTTAAGCAAAGGAAACCAAACCTAATCTATCTCAAAAGAGAAGCTGTATGTTGGATCACAGTTGGTACAATCTGGTATAATCTGGATTACCACATAGCATGCCAATATCAGGGAAGGTAAAATTAACATGATATAATGTTATAAAATAGTCTGCTTTTGAAGTTGATGCCTGAAAATGCTATTTCTGAAGATCAAATGAGAATCTCTGCAGGTGGTCATTGCAAATAGTTTGGGCATTTCATCCTCTGGCTGCAGCTATATGCATCTCTTCTCATCAATGCTCCTTTGGGATATTTTTGGATTAAAAAGATTATTTGGATGAAATTATGTCCTGAAAGCTGATTGACCCTCAGTAACTGTGTAAGCTAGAAGGGCTGTCATGAAGAGATTGCCTCTTCTAGAGGGCCTGGCTACCCCTGCAGCCACTGGAACCACCATCAGTCTGGGTTTGATGTAGGCTGAGGAAGGCTGACATTATCTTCTGGTTTTGATTCAAGCAAACGTCCTTGGTAGACTCTAATCACTGCCTGAGAGTGTTATATGAGATGAGATGATATGAATACTACCACCTCAGGAATTAGAAAACAAATAGAATCACAGTTTTTAGAACGTAACCAGTCCTCAAGGAATAATTTGGTGATGTCCTGACCACAGATTCATTCATTCAGTCAGTCAGTTATCCAATTGTTATTAATCACCTGCTGAGTATTTAGGCACTGTGCTAGTCCAATCGAGTGGAGAGAAAATGACTGCCATAAAAACAATATAATCAGTTTAAGAGAGGTATACAATTTAATAAAGATTCCAAGAGAGAGATTCTTTTTGATTGAAGAATTATGAAAAGTCTTCATGGAGATGGACACTGAACGAGGAGAGAGTGTGAGAAGTCTATGCTAGCATGTCCAATAAGGAAGAATGCATGGTGTTTGTCCAAGGATTAGCAAACACACCTATTGGACTGATGTATATAGCACAAATTGGAAGAGGAAATATGGCTAGAAATTTAGGTTGGAATATAATATAGAATGTCATATTGAAGATTTTTGGGAAATACACAGTGTTTGTGAAAAGAGGAGTAATTACAACCAGAGGATACCCAGGTTCTTACATCAAGGACCATCTAAAAAAGGGGTTAAAATTGATGGTAGCATGAAGAGTAAGTGCATAAAATGGACATTACTTTTTTTTAATAAATAGTATTTTTTTGATTGCCTCTCACTGGGTTGCACAGTCTGTCCACTGATGTGAACGTTACATGTGGAACCTACTGACCATTGTTTTCACAAAACTTCCTTTAAAGCAGGGCTTCTCAACATTTTAAAATGCATACAAATCACCTGACATTCTTGTTAAATTTGAGATTCTGACTCAGTAGTCTGGGGTGGAGCCATAGATTCTGGATTTCTGAAAAGCTTTGAGGTGCTGCTGCTGCTGTTCCTGGGAGGACATCTTAATTAGCCAGACTTTAAAGTCTTAAGTTTTCACAACCATTTCATCAAAAGACACAGCTTTTGGACACTGTGCTCCTGGGGCACATAACCATTTCTACTGTACCCACGACTGCTTCCTGTCCCCACTCCAAGCCCAGGATCACCATTATTTAAGGCCCATATCAGGAAAATTAATTGAGTTTTGAGAATAGAGTAGGGAGAGCCTGACATTGGGGACTGCAGTCTAGGTGAGATGACAAAGGCCTCTTGATGAAGAGAAACATATATAACATGGGGTGCTTGGAAGAAGTGAGACTCTTCTGACTTATGGTATGATCCATCTGAGATTTATAACAATTTTTAAAATTAGATTAGCAAGTACACACGAACTACTAAGCTAATGAGCCCTCACCACCTGCCTGTTCCACCTCTGGTTGCAGGTAGCCTGTGAACAGGCTTGGATCAATTAGTCAATATAATTGAAGCCAAATGTAATTAATTATATAATTTCTGGCTGTCCAAGTTTAATTCACTAAATCACATTATGAAACTAGGGCATTATGAAGGATTAGTGAGAAAAGGGAAACGGGCTTGAGTAAAGCTCTCACAGGAGCTACAATGCATGTATTATTTCTTGAACTGCTATCCTTAGGAATGAAGCAGAGGCTCTAAACTCCCACTATTATTGATACAAAGCCATGTGTCTTGTACACTCATGGGTTTGTGATCAAGTGTCACTAGTGTAAAAGCATAAAAAGTCTGTTATACCTGATGGGAGGGGCCACTGGTTAGGAGAAAGTTCAGGAGGAAGAGTCAGAAAGGCTGCTCACATTTTGATATTTACAAAAAAAGCATCAACAGAAACATAGAAGGGAGGCAAAGAAGTTGATGTAGGAGTGAAGAGCATAAACCACGTTTTCTTAATTGCTTTCATTACATAATTAACACCATGGATTGAATTACACACTGCCCCTCCCATATACTGAAGTCCTCATTCCCAGAACTTGTGAATTCGATCATATTTGGAAACAGGATCTTTGCAGATGATCGAGTTAAGATGAGGTTATTATGATAGGCACCAGTCCAATATAACCGTGTCCTTATAAAAATGGGAAGTTTGGATACGGAGACAGATACACAACAAGGGAAGAGGATGGGAAGACACCAGGAGAACACCCTGAACAAGCAAAGGATCCCTAAGGCTGCTGGCAGTTAAGAGAGAGGCACGGAATGGAGTGTCTCTCACAGCCCCAAGAAGGAACCAACCCTGACAGCACCCTGATTTCAGATTTCTAACCTTTGAAAATGTGAGGTAATAAATTTCTGTTGCTTAAGCCACCCAGTTTGTGGTACTTTCTTACAGCAGCCCCAGGAAACTCATACAAAAAATATATGATTAGTATTTAAAAATCCAACACTAGAGAAGTATAAAGTACAGAAATAAAAGGGGAAACTTTTATCCTTATCTGATAGCATTAGGGGGTTGATATGTTTCTTTCCAGGTCTTTTATCTATTAATATGTATGTAAAGAACGTAGGCTGGGTGCAGTGGCTCACACCTGTAATCCCAGCATTTTAGGAGGCTGAGGTGGGCAGATCACTTGAGGTCAGGAGTTCCAGACTAGCGTGGCCAACATGGTGAAACCCCATCTCTACCAAAAATACAAGAATCAGCTGGGCATGATGGTGTGCACCTGTAATCCCAGTTACTCGGGAGGCTGAGGCAGGAGAATCACTTGAAACCAGGAGGCAGAGGTTGCAGTATGTGGAGATCATGCCACTGAACTCCAGCCTGGGCAGCAGAGCAAGACTCTGTCTCAAAAATAAAAAAATTCGTTATAAAAATGAGATTATACCATAGATATTGCTATGTAATATTACTATAGTAATATTACAATGGATACTACTATGAAGCTTGCTTTTTTCATTTAATAAATATATTGTGGACATACTCCCATATCAATTCATACAGATCTACTCTTTCATTATAATGGCTACACAGATTTTATTTTATAGATTTATCAGATGATTCATGATATACATTTGGGGAAAGAAAATTTACTATTACAAGCAATGTTGCCACAAACATATTTATTCAAATATCCTTATGCTCTTCTGAGAGTATTGCTCTAAGAAAGATTATAGAAGTGGAATTACTAAGTCAAATGTACTTGTGCTTAACGTCTTGAAAAAAATTGTCGAATTGTTCTTTAAAATGTTGCAGTTACCTTTTTATTTATTTATTTATTGTAAGAAATGGAGTCTTGCTATGTTGCCCAGGATAGCCGTGAACTCCTGGGTTAAGCAATCCTCCCATCTCAGGCTCCCGATTAGCTATGACTATGGGCACATGCTACCATACCCAGCTGCAACTACATTTTCAACATCATACTGGAAGTTCTAGATAATGCAACAAGACAAGAAAAGGAAATAAAAGATATACAGATGGGAAAGAAGAAATAAAACTGTCTTTCTTCACAGATGACATGATTGTCTCTGTAGAAAATCTTAAGTAATTGACAAAAAACCTCCATAATAAGTGATTATAGCAAAGTTGCAGGATGTGAGGTTAATATACAAGTCAGTCACTTTCCTATATACCAGCAACGAACAAGTAAAATTTGAAATTAGAAACATGATACCATTTATGTTAGGACCTCCAAAAATGAAGCAGTTAGGTATAAATCTAACAAAATATATACAAGATTTATATGAGAAAAACTACAAAACTCTGATGAAGGAAATAAAAAAGGTTTTATAAATAAATGAAAAGACATACTATGTTCATAGGTAGGAAAACTCAGTTATTGTCAAGATATCAGTTTTTCTCACCTGATATATACCTTCAATATAATCTCAATCAAAATCCCAGCAAGTTATTTTGTGGATGTTGACAAACTGTAAAATTTATATGGAAAGGCAAAAAGACCCAGGATACACAACACAATATTGACGGAGAGCAAATATTACCAACCTCAAGACATATTATAAAGCTGAAGTAATCAAGACACTATGGTATTGGTGAAAGAGTATGAAGAGATCAATGGAAAAGAGCAGAGAGCCCAGAAAGAGCCCCACATAAATATAATCAACTGATATTTGACAAAAGGGCAATGTCAATACAATGGAGAAAATACAGTCTTTCAACAAATGGTGCCAGAACAACCGGATATCCACATGCAAAAAGGATATCCACATGGGCAAAGGATATGAACAGACACTTCTCAAAAGAAGACATTTATGCAGCCAACAGACATATGAAAAAATGGTCATCATCACTGGTCATCAGAGAGATGCAAATCAAAACCACAAAGGGATACCATCTCACGCCAATTAGAATGATGATCATTAAAAATTCAGGAAACAACAAATGCTGGAGAGGATGTGGAGAAATAGCAACACTTTTACAAGGTTGGTGGGAGTGTAAAATAATTCAACCATTGTGGAAGACAGTGTGGCAATTCCTCAAGGATCTAGAAATAGAAATACCATTTGACCCAGCAATCCCATTACTGGGTATATACCCAAAGGATTATAAATCATGCTACTATAAAGGCACATTCACACATATGTTTATTGCAGCACTATTCACAATAGCAAAGACTTGGAACCAACCTAAATGTCCATCAATGATAGACTGGATTAAGAAAATGTGGCACATATACACCATGGAATACTATGCAGCCATAAAAAAGGATGAGTTCCTGCCCTTTGCAGGGACATGGATGAAGCTGGAAACCATCATTGTAAGCAAACTATCACAAGGACAGAAAACCAAACACCACATGTTCTCACTCATAAGTAGGAGCTGAACAATGAGAACACAGGGACGCAGGGCAGGGAACATCACACACTGGGGCCTGTTGCGGGGTCGGGGACTGGGGGAGGGATAGCATTAGGAGAAATACCTAATGTAAATGATGAGTTGATGGGTGCAGCAAACCAACATGGCACATGTATACCTATATAACAAAATTGCATGTTGTGCACATGTACCCTAGAACTTAAAGTATAATAATACAAAAATCTTTTTCTTTTAAAAAAAAAGAACCTAAAGAAAGGCCTTATATACGTCACAAAAATTACTCAAAATGGATTTACAGACCTAAATGGAAAGTGCAAAAGTATAAAACTCCTAGAAGATACCATAAGAAAAAATCTAGATAACCAATGACTTTAGAGATATGACACCAAAATCATGATCCAACAAAGAAAGAACTGATAAGTTGGACTTCATCCAAATTAAAAATTTCTTCTCTGCAAGACAGTCTCAAATATGAAAAGACAAGTCACAAGCCAGGAGAAAATATGTTTTCAAGAGATACGTCTGATAAAAGAGTGTTATCCAAAATAGACAAAGAATTCTTAAACCTGTTAGTCAGAAAACAACCTAATTTAAAAAATGGGCCAAAGACCTAAACAGACAACTCAATAAAGAGGATATTCAGATAGCAGATAAGCATATGAACAGATTCTCCACCTCTTATATTACCAGGGAAGTGTAAATTAAAACAACAGTAGGATACTACTACACACCTATTAGAATAGCTGAAATGCAGAACACTGACAACATCAGATGCTGGTGAGAGTGTGGAGAACCAGGAACTCTCATTCATTGATGGTGGAAATATAAAATGGTACAGCCACTTTGGAAGACAGTTTAATGCTTTCTTACAAAACTAAACATATTCTTACCATAGGATCCAGTAATCACACTCTGGTATTTATCTAAAGGAGTTGAAAACTTATAGAACATGCACATACATGTTTATAGCAGCTTTATTCATAATTGCCCAAATTTGGAAGGAACCAAGATGTCCTTCAATAAGTGAATGAATAAGTAAACTGTGTTGTGTAAAGACAATGGAATATTATTCAGTATTAAAAAGAAACGAGCTACCCAGCCATGAAAAGATGTGGAAGAAACATAAATGCATATTTCCAGTGAAAGAAGCCAATCTGAAAAGCCTACATACTGTATGATTCCAACTATATATGACATTCTTGAAAAGGTAAAACCATGGAGACAATAAAAAGATCAGTGGTTTGTAGGAGCTCTGGGAGGAAGAGACAAATAGGTGGAGCATGGAGAACTTTTAGGGAAGTGAAAATACTCTTCCATGATACTGTAATGGTGGATACATATCATAATACATTTGTCCTAATGTGTAGAATGTACAACACCCAGAGTGAACCTTAATGTATACTATGGACTTTGAGTGATAAAGTGTCAGTGTAGATTCATCAGTTGTAACAAATGTACCATTCTGGTGGGAGGATATTGATAAAAGGGGATGCTATGCTTGTTGGGACAGAGGGTAAATGACAAATCTCTGTACCTTCCTCTCAATTTTGATGCAAAGGTAAAAGTGCTCTAAAAGACAACTTTAAAAAATGTTGCCATTATACTCTAGACATGGAGTTTGAGATTGTCCCTTTCTCTACATTCTTTTCAACATATGTATAGTTGAACTCTTCAAAGTAATGAAATTCTTTATCTTTCGGGTTAGATATGTATTAAAAATTTTAGCACATATGTCTATAATCACTAGCGAGATGGGGAAACTTCATATTTCTGGACATTTGAAGTTCTTATTTTGAGAATTGCCTATTTACATACTTTGCTGTTCCCTGATAGTTGTCTTTTTTTAAATTAACATAAATATTTGTATGCTTGGGATAGTAACAAATAGTCATGGTGAATATTTCCTCCCATATGTGTTAAGTTTGGTCTGTTAAATATGTGGCATATATATTCTCCCAATATGTTATATGTTTAGTTAACGTTTATTATGTTGAGATAATAAGACTACTGTTTTTCAGTCTCTAGTATATTTGACAGTAGTCAAATCTGCTAGTCCTTTCATTTGTGATGCTTGCCTTTCATGTCTCACTTAGGCTATGCACAGGTATATATGTAGATGGAGAGGCATACTTGCATTCATTTTAAAACACGTAAGAACGTTTACTGTACTTAAGAGACAGAAGGCATTAGGCCAGATGATACAAGGACAATTATCATATAGGATGGATATAGCATTTGAAATTAGAGAACACGCAGTATAGGCCAGTGCCAGAATGGTGAATTCTGTGGTTGAGGCAAATCACAGTTTACGTAATCTGCATAGATCGTAGTAGTAATCCATTCTCTAATGCCATTGGCAATGGCATTGGATGCATGTATTGAAGGTATAGTGTTGAGGGAAAGTCACCCCATATTATTCTTACTCAAATTCGGGGCTGGAGTGGAAAGTTTCTGCCATTATTACCACTTAGCAATGGGCATAAAATATAATCAGCCTATATAATAAACTGGAAACTTATAAACTGAAATTTTAATATATAAAGTCCATGTGCATATTAAAATAAGAATGAGTGAAAGAGCGATGAGTATAACAAAAGTATAATGTTGTCATTAAGTCAAGAACAAGAGAATTAAGGCTGACAGCCTATGCCACTGTGTCTGTGGCATGTGTAGGCTGAGGATACTGTGACCACTGATGTGACCATTTGGTCCACTGTCCATATCTCTAATTACTGGAGTTGGGATATCACTGCTGCCAGTTAGTCACTACCAATTTCCTTTTCTCTGAATTTATATTCATCACGCAGCCCTTCAGTTCATAATTTAGTTTCCCAAGCAGACTGCCTTACTGAGAAGGCAATGATCAAGTGAACCAGTGTCATTATTCTGATTAGCTTGGCAGGTATGTATCTCTTTGCGAATTATTCAGTTCTTTAGTAAATGAGGTGATGTTTTATATCATCCCCCCACTCCATCATTCCCCTAACAACTGGTTCATATGGTAAGGGAAAGTTTATAAGCTAATACTGTACATGCAATGGCCTGCATGGCCTAGTATGTGCTGCCATTATCCAAATACCCCCACCACAAATGATTCTGTCCTTGTGCTTGCAAACATTGAATAACTTTTCTTTTCCTTACTTTAACCCAGTGATATCTACTGACCTATACACAACATTCCATGTAACACACATGTGCTGGCAATTATTGTGACAGAAAGTAGAGAGCAGGGAGAAGGGTCACAAAGGATGGAGGGGGTGAAGCATTTCACATTTTATCAAGATATGAAAACTGGCACCTAGATTTTTATGCACTGGAAATAATTATTGGTCTCATGTAATTGGGTGTGAAGAAACTAGTGACTGGCAGAGAGGAATGGGAACAATCTTGAAGGTTGAAGAAGGGAGGTAATATTTACAGAGGACAGAAATTTCATTGATTCAACAAAACTATTTTTTTTGAGCACTTTCTATCTGCCAGGCGTTGCTTTAGGCATTTAGGATACATCAGTGAACAATAAAAACCCAATTTCCTCTCCTCTTAGGACTTAATTCTAGAAAGAAGAGTCAGACCAATCAACAGCAGACAGACCAGATGAGTAAATTACACAGTATTTTAGGAGGGGATACATACTACGGAAAAAGAAAGGGTAGATCAAGGTAAGTGGGATTGGAGATGTGAAGTGGGAGTGGGTGGGTTGAGATTTTTTAAATAGGTTGGTGATGAGGAAGAGGGATCACTGAGGAATGAAGTTGGAGTGAAGACTCGAAGGAGGTGAGGGAACAAGCCATGTTAATATCTGGTGACAGAACACTCCAGGCAGAGGGAGTCATCAGGATGAGACCCTCCACATAGCTGAGATTTTGAAAGTTTCCTGTGTTTAGACAAAATGAAAATAAACAAAAACCAGTGTCCTGAAAAGATCTCAAAGCCTTCCTATGCTAGCCAAAAAGGTAAAGGTGTGTATAGGTACACACTTATCCATGCAGGTAAGGGGGGTTATTCCGAGAGTTTTAGATCACATGCAGAGATTAAAAAGAGCAAGCTTATTTGGTGACGGAGTGAGAAGGAGCACCTAACAGTCATGTACTTGCAAGGAAAGAAGACGGGGGAAAGAAGGGGCCTCTTGATAGACTTCTTAATTAGAAATTCGGCTCTTATCTCATGGGAAGTGAAACCCACTTCAGTCCAAAATGGTCTGCCAAGAAGATCCTGCTGGGAAATATTTTGATGGATTGCAAGAAGGGAAGCTTGAGGCAGCCACAAGAAAGATGTTATAATCATCCCAGCTGAGATGACCAAAGCTGAAGTAGGATCATACATACATACATACAGATGAAGATATGATGACAGAGTATGCCAAGGGTCACTCATCATACTGTGTTATTTTGCAATGAGATAAGACTTTGGCAGGAAACTGTGTAGAATGACAAAATTCCTAGACCACGCTTGCTCTGCCACATATTTCTGTGATTTCTGGCTACAAAATCAGCTGGGGGCTCAGTTTTCTCATCTGTAGAATTGGGGAATAACACCTGCTTGATCTAGTTCATAGAACTTTTGTGAGAATCAGATGATGAAACAGCAGAAACTGTTGGGTAGGTAATTAAATGCTATACAAACAGGAGACATTCTCAAAGCTTTTATTCTCACCAAATAGCTGATATAACACTTGACTTCTTTATTTTCAGTTCACACCTGAAAATAATCTGCATTTTCAAGACCAAAGTAACCTCAATCCTGGTGGGTTACTCTCTAGTCTCTTCCTCCTTCTCCTTGGTCCCCCAGTAAGGCTGGAAGGGCCAACAGGTAGGGAGAAGTTTCGGAAGAAAATCTAGCACCGTGGTATAGGTTAAGAGGCAGCATAGGAAGAAAAGCCATCCTCTACCTCTATTTCTTTTGGAACAGAAATAAAAGGGTATGGTGTCTGTGTTCCAGCATCTGCTCCCAGGTTTTGATTTTTCTGTGACTCAGGAGAAGACAGAGGCTAGTAGGCTGGCCTCCCCGATGCCCAGGCTCTCCCCTTCTGGGTTCTTATCGGAGAGAGTCTGGCCCACTGATCCCAGCTTGCAAAAGCAAGCAAGAAAAGGCTTGCTTTTCTCCTCCATGGCTGATTGTCCTGAGAGCCCCGTAATTCTCAAGGTCAGACCTTCCCATGCAATGCCGAAGCTGACAAATCTAATCTCTCAGGCAAACAAAACAGGTTATTTTGCTGCAAAACCTCACAAAAAAAAGGGGACGGACATTCCCCTTGGCTTGAAATTTTAAACTATTTTGAGTCCAAGCTCACAGAGCATCTCTATGATTTTCTTCGAGGGGGCCTGAGGGCGAAAAAGGAGGGCCTGCAATCTCTTATTGAATATCCCCATTTCCAGCCTCAGTCAGACCACTCAGAACACACTCTCTCCAGCTTTTATCAGCTTAAACCCGGAGCAGACATGTGGTGTGTGAAAGGATGTAGGTTGTTATTCAGTGCCTCTGGCATATCGTGTTAAGATGAAAAACACAAGTTTGCTACTTAAAGGGGAACTGTCAGTCCAAGGTCATCATTCCCCAGCAGGCCATGGTACAAGCCACACCACAAATACCCATTCTGGGTGTGGGACAAGCGTCTGGTTAGTTTCTCCATTTGAGAGAAGCACAGAGAACAGCATTTCCTCCAAACACCAGATCAATCATTTAGGGGCAATTCATCTTTTACTAAAATGATCTCAAGTTCACGACTAATAAGACCACAGCTGCCTTTTTTATGGCTGAGTTACCCACACACAACTCGGCACGGTATTTTCGGTCAGGTCACAACTGCGTAATGGGGCCTCAAACTTGGCAGTTTCATGTTCTTCTGTCTTTTCCTTTCCCAACCCACACTGAATTACACGCTGACCAAAGCTCCCCTGGAGTCACATGGAATGAGAATTTGGCTCCAAATATCCAAATTTGCAGCCCAAAATGGAGGCGTCCCTGGGCCGACTAAGTTTTTCCATTTCACTGCCTGGGGTTTGCCATTCTCTGTGCAGAATTCAGGCTGCATTTTCCTGTTGATGATCCAGGTTATGCAAATGTAGATAGGAGAGTCACAACAAATGTGTCCAGATGGCCCTTACACTATAGAGTTACCCCAAATTCAAGAACAAAATGAGACAAAATTATTTACAGCATGAAATTGAACTGTAAGGAGTACAGAGGGAAACAGATCTTAGAGAAAGAGAAGAAAAAAAGTAAATAAAATTTTGTCTTTGTTTCCCCTCTTTTCAAAATCAATTTTGCCAAATTGTTAATTACCCTCGAAAGGATATTAAGGGCAGTCAGGAGGAAGTCAATGTTAGTATTTTGGATATCCTGGCATACATCACGTGTAGTTCCTGGGACATCCAAGATGACACAGACTGACATGTTGCTTCAGGCACATGCTCTATGTTACCATTATATTTGCGTAACTGATCCATTCCGGGCATATATAGCCCTGACCTCTGGGTGCTGAGGAATTAAAATATCAGTCACAGGGCTCAAACTGTTGTCCTTATGTAGATGAATGTTAGCTTCTCCTATTTGGCAGTTTGTGTCCTAAACTTTTAGTTTGCTCTAACAATGATTGCCCAAGTCAACTAGTAGGCACTGTTCTGAGGACCAGGTCATTGAGATTTACTGCTTTGCATTTTTGCCTTCATAGTTCTACATTGCACGATTAGCACTCCACCATGGGACTACTGCCATGCCAGGTCCATATGCAGAGCTCAGCACAGTGCTTTGTGAGAAAAAAAAAAAAAAAAGATGTTGTTGGGGTCAGGCACAGTGGCTCACACCTGTAATCCCAGCACTTTGGGAGGCCAAGGCAGGCAGATCATCTGAGGTCGGGAGTTCGAGACCAGCCTGACCAACATGGAGAAACCCCGTCTCTACTAAAAATACCCCCCCCCCAAAAAAAAATTAGCCGGATGTGGTGGCACATGCTTGTAATCCCAGCTACTCCAGGGGCTGAGGTGGGAGAATTGCTTGAACCTGGGAGGCGGAGGTTGCAGTGAGCCAAGATCACATCATTGCACTCCAGCCTGGGCAACAAGAGTGAAACTCCATCTCAAAAAAAAAAAAAAAAAAAAGAGAGATGTTGTTTAAATGATACTGAGGTGCTGATACCATTCTTCTTGGATCCCATTTTATCATGAATCTATCCTCTATGTTGCCAATAGGCTGCTTCTGCTTAACAATCTGTGAAGATGAACTGTGGCTCAGCTTTGTGTTATTTGCCTAAGGATGCCTTCATTCAAATCTTTGACAAAATAATGAACACGAAGACACAGAGGGCAGAGCTATGTGATGTTTCACTACAGATGTTCTTCTAATTTTCACCTAAACTTATAAATCCAGTCTCTCTCTATATATTTTTGCTTGCAAGAATCTCAACCAAACTTAGTTTGACATAAACTTATTGAGATCTAGAAACTGGAATAAATGAGGAAAACATTGTTCCAACTTTCAAAGGACTTCCAGTCTGACGAGAGTATATATGGTGTATCTGATGGAGGCAGTGGTTGGGGATCAGGGAAGTTGGTAGGGAAGAGGAGTAAGAGGCGGGGCTTAGATTACTATATAAATAGTCACAGTTCAAAGCATAAAAAATTTTACCTGAGGAGTGCAAAATGCCCCAGGGTTCAAAAGAGGGAAAGATCACATTTTACTAAGGAAGTTCAGGGCAGTGTCGTAAATCAGCATATTTCTTGGTTCCCCACATCACTCTGATCATCGTTCTCCTCTCTTTACAGCTTTTGTTGCGGTTCAGACCATTAGCTTATTCAACATTTCCCTTTCCTGACCACAGCCACCCACCAACTCCTGGATACTCTTCCACCTTCAGCACCTGCCCAGTCTTCTCCCTATCTTTTCTACCAGCTATCATCCTCAAAAACTATTGAATGTTGTTGACATTCAAATATGCTGGCTCCTTCATTATCAACTCCAAACTCAACTACCCTCTGATGTAGTCAAAACTTAGCCTCCATCACCCCTTGAAATTGTTCCACCCCAATGACACAAACTTAAACATTTCTCCTATTATTTCTCTTATCAGATGATGCATCTCACCCCTTTCATTTCTCACTTACGTTTAACAAACTTTGTTTTGTTTGTTGCTTTCATTGTGATCTTCATTTTTTCCCTTGGACGTTCACAATATGCTTCACCTCTGTCCCCTTTTGGGTTTGTTGTCCTCTTCTTCCCTAACCTGGAGTTTCTGGTTAGCCTATTAAACAGGGCACTTCTTATGTAGACTTTTTGGACATGCTGCCATGCTCTGTCTCTGTCAATCTTCAACTGCCTCGCTTTTGTGAGGGTTTTCTGGCTACACTTCCAATCCTTCTACTCATCTCTTGTAGATGCCCTGAAGCATTTCTACATCCGCCATTTCATACCTTTATTTCTCTCCTCCGAATTCTCAACATCACCCCTAGGACAGGACCTCTTCTCTTAATTCACTGAAAAGATATAGACCAAAGCTGCTCAATAGAACTCCTGCGATGATGTCAGTGTTTTATATTTGCATTATGCAATATGGTAGCCAGTAGGCATGTACAGCTATTGCACACTAAAATTGTAGCTAGTAAGACTGAGGTACTGGATGTTTTATTTTATTTTATTTTAATTAACTTAAATTTAAATAGCAACGTATAGCTAATAGCTACTCTATTCCATGCCACAGGTATAAATCAGTGCTGTCCAATAAAAATATAATTATTTCATATATCATTTCAAATTTTCTAGTAAGTACATTAAAAAAGTAAAAATGAACAGGAATTATTTTTATATGATTAATAACATTACTTTTATTTAATTAATATATTTAACCCATTATATTAAAAAATTATTATTTCATTATGTAGTCAACATAAAAATTATTGATGAGATGTTTTACAATCTTATTTCATGCTAGATTTTCAACATCTTGAATATATTTTATGCTTCTAGAACATCTCAATTCAGATGCTAGATTTTCATGGGAATTATTTGATCTGTATTTAAATATCATAAAACTTACAGTTGAAAACACAGATTTATACCAAGTTGTTCGAAGCATACTTAAAAGTTTTCATTAACTGAATGAAATATCAGTTTTTCCATATCCATTTCAATTAATTAAACTTAATTAAATTAAAAATATATGTCCTCAATCAGATTAGCCACATTTCAATTGCTCAACAGCCACAGACTGCTGGTGGCTGCCATATTGAACAGTGCACTACGGGTGGCTGATTCTTCTCCAGCCTCAAGTCTCTGAATGTCTTGACCCTGGCCCTTCCTTTGCAAGTTTGTCTAAGGAAAACACATCTTCCTTAACCACTCTCATCCCCACTGCTCCTTTAAACCTTCTCTGCGTGCCAATCTCAGGCTCTTATATAAACAATTACCCCTCCCTTTTCTTATTCTCATCATTGATCTTGTCTAGTCCTGACTCCTTTTTTTTTTTTTGGTTAGAAATGTAATTCTGGGCCCTGCACCAGACCTAAAGAATTGGAAACTCTGTGGGTGGGACCCAGCTGTCTGTGTTTTAACAAACCCTCCAAGTGATCCTGAGGCATTTGCGAGTGCACGTGCAGATTCACAAAAACTAATAAAAGTGGTTACTTCTGTATAGAGTGGAGGCCGGGTACAACTCGGATAGAGAGAAGACTGGAAGTGAGTTCTTTTACATTGTTGTGATTTTGAACCATCTGAATGTTCAACTCAGATTTTTAAGAAGAAGGAGGATATTTAGAATATACTGATGGCCTCTTCTCACCTCTTTTTCATTTGATGTTTGGTAGGGCTTGGACCTTAGTAAAATTAAAAAGGTCTCCAAGTGATCCTATAAAGCAGGGGTCTCCACCCCTGGCCCCAGGCTGGAATTGGGCTGCATAACAGGAGGTCAGCAGCAGGCAAGCCAGAATTACTGCCTGAGCTCTACCTCCTGTCAGATCAGAGGCGCGTTAACTCCTCATAGGAACGCCAACCCTATTGTGAACTACACTTGCAAGGGATCTAGGTTGTGCGCTTCTTATGAGAATTTAACTAATGCCTGATGATCTGAGGTGGAACAGTTTCATCCCGAAACCATCCCTCAGTCCATGGAAACATGGTCTTCCAGAAAACTGGTCCCTGGTGCCAAAAAGGTTGGGGACCACTGCTGTAAAGTGCACAATGCAATGTATTCTAGTATATTCACAGGGTTGCACAACCATGACCTCAATTCATTTTAAAATCTTTTTATCACCCCCAAAAGAAACCTCATACCTATTAGCAGTCATTCCCATGACCTCAAACCAACCCCTGTCAAACTTTATTATTTTTAAACAATATTTCTTTACTAGCAATGTAGAAAATAATATCACTCACCATTATATATTTAGGTGAAGTGTATTTTTCAGACATTGATATGACTTTTGACAGTGATAAAACAGTTCTCTGGGCACAGGTACCTCCTTAGGCCTAAAGCATTTATTTTTTTTTTTCATTTTCAAAACCATAGAGTATGCAAAGTTTCTGCAAACAATAGACAAAGTTGCTTTTGACTTGGAGGTGAAATGAGTCCTCAATATAAAGAGAAAATGGTCTCTTCTTATTCCCAACTACCAGTACAAGATTCCCAGTTTACACGGGGGAGAGGAAGGCATAGAAACAAGTCAGGAAGTGCTCAATGAAGACCACCACCCAAACTAAACCAGAAAGAAAAAGAAGGGTCCTGGCAGCTTCCTTTGACTCAGACCAGGCTGAGTATCCTAGGAAAAGGCAGGGAAAGCCACCAGGACAAACAAAAGACTTCCTTGGAGGCAACTTTCCAAACAGTGCCTTCCTTGATCTCTTGGGGCCAGAGGATGATAAAATGGTTTGTGGGCTCTGGCTGGTGCCACAGTGATGAGAAGCTGCACATGACTCCCCCAAGCCCTCCCCTCTCCTTTCTCCTTTCAGAGGGTGGCTTTGTTCTTCCCAGCCCCTGGGGCTTGTGTTCTGTGGGAGGTTAGGACAGTTTTTTGTTATCAAGCAGACATATTAGTTTCAATGACAGTCGTCCTCCTCCTCCTTAAAAAAAAAAGTTATTGCTCATGATTTTGTCCCTTACTCTAAAAATGTAAGCTTTAAAAGGAAAGGAAGAAGACGTGGGTAAAAGAAAGGCAAGAATATACCAACAGGGAAGTAAAATGATGACCCATAAACCATCCCTCAACCAGTGCCACAGAGTTCTCTTCCAAAACTCTGTGAACATAAAGAAACGTATTTCCTCGTATGTGCACCAAGAAAGTTAACTCAGGTTGGTACATAAAGAGCCCTGAGATGAAAGATATATAATGCATACCTTGAAGGGGAAGAGAGGGAAGGGAAACATGCAATGAAGTGAAATGAGAAAGGAGGATGGCGGAGGGAAAGGGAAAAAAATCCCTAGCTAATAACGTGTTCTTGCCTTCCTTCCTAACACAATGACACGTGACTTAATGAAGCCAGTGAGTTCTGAGACTGATGTAAAAGTTCCAAAAAAAATATTCTGCGGCAAAGGCCCCTGGGTAAACGGTGTCACTTCTAATTTCTCTGGTTCCCATGATTTAGAGCAGACCCAGGATCTGAAATTCACACCAGCTTTTTGTGTACCAGGGTGCGGGTAGCGAGGGCCCAGGCTTGGGGAACAGGGACATGGGCTTCCTATGTGATTTTACCACTGCAGCCCTGCTTTGTCTCACATTTAAAATAATTTGCCAGGTAAAAATAAACTTCTCAGAATCACAGAGTGAGAAATGTACTTAACAATTCAATCCCTGTAAGTTTGGGATTGACAGAGAAAGTGCAGCCAAGGCTAATTAAATTACCCAACGTGTATTTGAATGGTGGTTTCACTAGCAAGTTTATTAATTCACATCGTTATCATTGTTATTATTGCCACAACTGGTAAATTATGCTTTTCATGAGATAACAAAATATGCAGACTGTTAGCTCTCAGTTATACCCTGCTTAGCTGTTGGTTTCTCTCCTGAGTGCCATTCTTAGAAAGCAAACCTCATTTGTTCTAAATTCCACATCCCCAGATGGCATGTTCTGAGTTCTTTTTTGTTGTTGTTGTTACTCTTTGGAAATAATTAAAATCTACAAAGGGTTTTTGTTTTCCTTCTGCTTTTGCCAGTAATTCTCACAATAGGAATATGTATGGTTCATGATATCAGCTCCTTGCAGGATGATGTTTCTGTATTTTGCTGATTTGTAAAACTCGTATTCCCAGGTTCAAATCCAGTGGACTCAGAACTGCTTTTTAATCTCTCAGGGACAATTTATGGTATATGTATAGAAGTTTTGTGCAGTCAGATTGGCTTCATGTTATTAAACCTCAATTGCCCATTGTATGTATGCTCATTTGCCCAATAATTTTGTGGGGTTGTTTTGTTTCGAGACAGGGTCTCACTCTGTCACCCAGGCTGGAGTACAGTGGCGTGATCTCAGCTCACTTCAACCTCTGCCTCCAAGGCTCAAGCAATCCTCCTACATCAGCCTCCCAAGTATCTGGGACTACAGGCGTGCCACCACACCTGGCTAATTTTTGTAATTTTACTAGAGACTGGGTTTCACCATGTTGCCCAGGCTGGCCTTGAATTCCTGGACTCAAGCAATCTGCCCGCCTCAGCCTCCCAAAATGCTGGGATTATAGGCATTACCCACCATGCCCAACCCTGCCCAATAATTCTGGACAAATTTGAGAAGACTGAAATGAGCAAAACTTAGTTGTAAGATACATCAGACAGGCATGCCATCTTGATTCAAAAACAACCTACAAAATTTGTGCAAGACACTTTCTAAATCTGGGATAAAACAATTTTGACATCTAGGCTTGCTACTTTAGGTGTGGTCCCTAGACTAGCAGCATTCATATCACCTGGGAGCTTGTTAGAAATGCAGAATCTCAGACCCATTCCAGACCTACTGATTCAGAATCTGCAGTCATCAAGCTCTCCATGTGATGCACATACATATTAAAGTGCTAGAGTATGGAAGAGAGAGATGTCTTCTCATCCTATACCCACCAGCAGCATACTACCACCGTGGCTTTCTGCACCAAACATTGAAATATATACCATTTGATAACCTTAGATATTGTATTCTAAAATATATTCCCGTACCTAATAAATTTAATGCAATTTACCCAAAATATATTTCAAAAACTTAAGCAACACAAATGAAACATCTATTGCCAATACAGTCTATCCTGCAACTCATTTTGGTTTGGAAGAAAGAATAAAGTGTATTGGATGGTGATTAGGTAACTGACCTCATCCCTTATGATACAAAATCACTTTTTTACTCCATGTCCCAGGGTTTGGCTAACATTGCATAATGGGAAAAGTTTTCAGGATATAGCAGCTTGTAGACATTCCTTCCCTCCTCCCAATCTTTTTAGAAGACAAAAGAAAAAAGAAAGGATAAAAGATTGTATAACCTAATTTCTTAAATTAAAAATGTTAATTTATAAAGTAAACAAAACGCTAATTTGAAATCCACTTTTTTCCCTACCATGAAGGCCTCCTTGAATTTCATACCATATCAAAAGTAGCTTATTTAGGAACTACTTCCACTAATAACACCATTGTGTATTTATTTGCTGGATCATAGTTACAAAGTACTTTTGCATATTGTAATAGCATTTCTCTTCTAATTTTCATCTCAAACTAAAAATCAGTTATCTCTTCCTCATAAAAATATTCATGTAAAATAATTTGGTATTTCAATTATCATAAGTATGGCAAAAATTTTTGCATTAGGAATAAAATGTATGTCACTCATACAACTGCAGCTCTTGATAAAAAAAAAATTGTAGTTCTTGAAGAAGGGTTCTCACTTAGAATTATTTGGAGTACAGAAAAGTCTCATTTCTAAAAAAGACCATCACTTTACAGAAATAGTTGTCCAAGTGTTTTACACTCACCTCAGCAATCGTTGGGGAGATACAAATAAAATGTTTTTCATGTATAGTAACTGTGATCCTCCTCTAAAAACAAACACACACTTTGGGTTTAAAAATTATCTTGGTGATATGTAAAGGAAGAGCTTTCACTGCGGTACTAATGCATTCTGAATTACAGTAGAGGAGCTCTGGGAATCCCTGGCTCCTAGCATAAAAACAGTTGTACAACTTCCTTCCTGAAACACTGTGCAGAAGATGCTACTTAACTCATGGGAAAACTCTCAACTAGCATTCGTGGATATCTGAGGATGGCACAATTTGATTTGTTTTAGACCTGATTCTAGGTGGTGGTTCTTTGTGGCTCCCGTTCGTGTTACCATTGTAACATGACAATGAGGAAAGGCCAAGATTACAGTGGATCTAGCCCCTGGTGCTGAGGAAAGGCAAGATTGCTAGGAAAGGCCATAGCTTGTCTGGACTGGGTGGGTGGCAATTGACAGCTGGTGGTGGCAGGGAAGCAGGAGAGAGGGAATCAGCAGGAACTTAAGGGGATATGGTGAAAGAGTAGCTGCTGGTGGTGGAGGTCAAGGTGCACTACAGCATAAAACAGTGCCTGGAAGTAGCAGAGCTTGGCCACATCCACCACAGGTGAGGGCCCCATGGAGGTCTCATCTAGGGAACATGGGAACTGAAACCAAGTCCAGGAAAACAGAGTGAGTGCTATGATCCCAGGAAGTGGTTGTAAGAAGTCTGCCAGAGAACATGAGAAGCACATTCCTAGTTTGGGATCTGCTGGGAACAAAAAAGAGCACAAGCCCCAGGAATTTGCCTGGAAGTCATAGTAAACGTCCCTCAGGTATCGGGGCATCAGGGTCCTCATGAGGGATAAACTGTCCCAGTGATGCCTCATTCCCAGTGATTCCATTTCTCTAGTGGCCAAAGACCAGAAAACAATTCGGCGTAGCATTCCTAAGCAGGATTCCACCAGAACTCCTGATGGAGCTGAAAAAACATTGATCCATTATAGTGCCTGTAAGTTGCCTAGGAGTGGATTCAAAACATCTGAGAAGGATAGGGAGTAGGAAAGAGTACATGAGAAGAGTTGACACTGTGTAAAATTAAGAGAACAATCCATGTGGGTTGGGGTGAGGGAAAAGGGATTCCTTGTTCTGCTAAGTTGAGCTGGGTCTTAAAGAACATGATCATCATGAGAGGAAGAGAAAAGGAACATTTATTTAACACACAGTTAGTCAGGCGCCATGCCCAAAACAATCAAAACTGTTGCAATAATCTGGGTCTGGATCATAGAATTTAGCTATGGGGGAAGGGAAAAAGACTATCTTCTAGAGATTTTAGTTTCTAAGAGCTAAAAGTCATGTTGGAGATATTATTATGGATGAAGTAAGACATAAGGGATAGAAAGATGACCATATAAACATGAAAGCACTCTGAAAATTATAAATATGGATTGCACATATGAAAATTTATGCTCTAATAGGAAAAATATGAATGAAGATTCTTTGAGTGAGATCAAGGCTCATGGCTTTACATTGAAAATGCACAACAGGCCAGGTACAGTGGCTCACGCCTGTAATCCCAGCACTTTCGGAAGCTGAGGCAGCAGGATGGCTTGAGACCAGGAGTTCAAGACCAGCCTGGGCAACATGGTGAGATCCTGTCTCTATAAAAAATATAAAAAAAAAAACAACAAAAAAAAACAAACAAAAAGAAAAACTAGTCAGGCAGGGTGGTGTGCATCTGTAATCCCTCCCAGCTACTCAGAAGGCTGATGTGGGAGGACTGTGTGGGCCCAGAAGGTCAAGACTGCAGTGAGCCATCATCATGTCACTGCACTGCAGCCTGGGCGACAGTGAGACTCTGTGTGGAAAAAAAAAAAAAAAAGGAAATGCACAATAATTATTCATATGTCTATCAATCTTTGAAAGAAAACTTCCTAAGAGTTAAAATAAGAATACATGACAAGGATCAGAACATGTAGATGCTCAGTGTTAAAGAAATTTTAACATTTACCCTATTATTACTGGTAGTTAATATGGCAAGAATCTAGACATTTCAGAATTTCTATGTGCATTTCTAGAAAATATTATGAATGGCAATACTAAACACCTTCTCTGTAAGAATCAAGGTACTATTTAGTTCCCAATATTTTTATCACTTTCATTTTTATCCCTATTAAGTATTTTTACAGATCTAATTGAAATGTCTTCATCTGCTCTGTGAAGACTTCCTCAATTCTTCTGGAAAGTTAGTCTTCCTTTTCTTGAGATCCCATGGCCTCTGCTCAGTCCTCCCTGGGACATTGTAAGTGATCTACCCTCTGTTTGCCTCACCCATTAGGTTCCGGGCCCTTTGATATAGGGGCTGTATTAATATATCTTTAAGGTCTGGCAGTATGTGGCAGAATACAGGCTTTCATTTTCCTAAATTCAAACAAGCTAAAACATGTTTTAAAAAAATCATTAGTATTTAAAAAATATTTTCTGGGATGAGCCCAAAGTTCTGTTTTTATTCACTTTTCCCAAATTAATTTTTTACATTGCCAAGGCAATATAAAAAGACACAGAAAAGTTTGAAAAAAAAACCCTCTGATTCCACCTCACAGTCACTGCTAATATTTTGGTAAGAGTAATAAGCATTCAGTGTTGTCTTGGACACCAGATGACACTTGAGGTTGTCTTCATGGAGCATTACAAAATAAACAATGTTTACTATGAGAATTTGAGTGCTGCTGCTCAGCTTTTCTTTCATAGGCCCTCAGATATAATATTTCTTAACCTTCTTCATTGGGGAACATTTAAAAATGGTGCATGTTCATTGTTGCCAACATTCCTGACTGGTAAATTGATAAACAGATCTTCCTGTTGTAGTTCTTGCACCTGCATGAGGCTGTCTTCCATAACATGCTTAGCCAGGGTGTAGTGGATGCATCTGCTTTATGAGTTAACTGACAGAATTTGTTTATAAACCCACTGAAGAGCTAAATGAAGCAAAATGCATTATCGTACTTGCTAATTACATTTCATTTCAGCTGAAAGCTTATTACAGATACAGCCTGAAAACCCGACTTTTTAATTTTGTTTACAGCCACTTCTGCTTTGACTTCAAACCCTACAAGATGTTTTTCTCCACAAAATTCAGGAGGATCAAAGCTGGCTGGAGGACTCTGTGGTATTGGTTAATATCTCCTGAACTGCACTTGCTAATAAGAAAAGACTTTTACTTCCGCTACAGATTGGTATCAGTACTTGTTCTAATGGACTCCTTAAACATCCAGAAATGCACAATATTTTCACTTGCCTTTAACTCACCACTTTCTGGGAGGAAGTTCCATCTCTTATACACCCAGCAATATGACTGTAAGCACAAAACAAGCTGAACCCCAATGCCACACATATCTGAACTAGCCACATTCTTAACACTGTCACGTCAGCTCAGATGTGCTCTCCTCCTTTTTCATCAAAATGAAACTGTCCCCAGAATGTCATTAACCACTAGCTTTGTGTGTATTCAGGAATGGCAAAACCCATGCTGACCTTGGCTCCATTGCTAGTTGACCCTTCCCACATTCCCCCTAAAAAGCAATTTTCTCCTCCCACCGTCTCCATCAATCTAGAGTCATCAAAGATGATCATTACCTGCTACTACCTTCTAGAAGAGTCACCCGCAAAATTGCTCTTCTGTATAGTGACCCTGAATCTCTAGGCTGTTTAATTTATTTCACTTCTTTATAATTAAATTAGACTGTCTGATATTTGTGTATTATGGTTACTTTTTTCTTAGCTTCTCCATTCTACCACAGCTGCAGATGCTACCTCAGAAATCCATCATAAGCTTGTGAAGGTAGCAGAAACGGCAGGCGCTGAATTATTTGGATATCGCTGACAAAGCCTTTGTTATTCCCTCCTTTGGTGTCCCTACAGGGCAATTTTCAAAGTCCCTGGAGTCCTCTGGGGGGTCCCTAAGATACTTCAAAGAGGCCATGGGTTCAAAAGTATTTTCATAAAAATACTAAGGTATTATCTGCCTTTTTCATTGCATCATCATTTGAACTGATGGTTCAAAAGCAGTTATAGCTACAAGTGCCAGTACCTTAGTTTGAATCAAGGCAGTGGCACCAAACTGTGTAGTAGTCCTATTTGTCATCACTGTGTACTCACAGGAAAAAAAAATCCAGTGTAACTTAATAATGTTCTGGTGAAGCAGTAAAATAATATTAATTGTATTAAATCCCGACCCCTGAGTGCAACAAAATGAGAGGTATACGTAAAGCACTTTGCTGCTTACTCAAGTACAATATACATCTATGCAGATATCTGAGTTGAGAGCTGAACTAGCTGGGTTTTCTTTTCATGGAACACCATTTTACTTGAAAGAATGACTGACAAACTAAGGTTATTTATACTTAGGTGTTTGGCAGACATTTTGTCAAAAATGAACAAAGTGAACTTGTCACTTCAGGGAAAACAACTGAGAGTATTTGTTGCCAACAAAAAAAAGTTCAGCTTTGAAACAAAATTTAGAATTTTGGAAAATTTGTAACTGCCACTGTGAGCTTGACAGCTTCCCCGATACTTTAAGGCTTTTCTGATAAGACTGGTGTGATAGTAATGAATGTGATCTGTTGATACTGCCTTATGAAATGTGTCAACATTTGGAAAATCTATTTAACTCAGTGAAGCAACATTTTCCAAATGACCAATGCATGATGTTACAAAATCAGACATGGGTAAAAGGTCCATTCGAAGTGCAAAACAGAATAGTTGATTTTAAGGTAATGGTATGACGAACAGGAAAATTTCATTGGTAATAGTTTCAGATTCTGCATTGCAATTATCTTTTAAGAAACTGCTGCTTGTGGAGTTTTGGTGTAGTATCACAGAATAATAACAATTATCTACAAAGGTTACTAAATACTCTTTCTCAATGTGAGAGGCTGGATCTTCTTCACATACTTCAATCAAAACAACGTATCGCAATAGATGGAATGCAGAAGCAAATGTGAGAATCCACTTACCTTGTATTAAGCCAGACATTGAAGAGATTTACAAAAATAAAATATTGCTCTTCTCACTAAATGTTTGTTTTTGAAAATATTGTTACTTTTTGTTAAAATATGTTAACATGTATACTTACTGCTTTTTAAGAAAAAATTCTTTTTAACATTTCTGTTTTAATTTCTAATATAATAGATACCAATAAATATAACCCATATAAATGAGAGTTCTTTGGAGTTATTAATAATTTGTAAGAGAGCAAAGGAGTCCTAAGACCAAAAACTTGAGGCCTTCTGTTCTATTTCATGCCATGGTTTGCATAGCAAAATTATCTGTTGTCTAACTCATAAGTTAGACATTACTTCAAGGTAGCCATCTGCACACAAATGTTTTGTATTTGCATGTATGGCAAAAAATAGACTAAATTTCTAAAATTTTGTGTACCTTAATAAGCAAGCTCTGTAAAGTTAAATTTGTAAAATTTTGCATTAAATAAACTAAGAACACCTGTTTTACAATGGTCTAGTGTCCTAGACCACTAAATTTTTCAGTATGTTGAATATAATCATTCTTACAAGCAAAAATCCTTAAGGAAAAGACATATGGTTAACTTTGTGTTTTTTTCTTTTCGAATATATGTATTTAATGCTATAAAATGTCCTGTAAGCACTGTTTTTACTGCATCCTACAAATTTTGATGTCATATTTTAATTTTCTTTTTTATTAAATATTTTAACTTTCATTTTAGGTTCAGGGATACATGTGCAGGTTTGTTATATAGGCAAACTCACAACTTGGAAATTTCACGTACAGATTCTTTCATCACCCAGGCACTAAGCATAGTGCCCAACAGTTTCTTTTCTCTGAATCTCTCTCTCCTCTCCCCTTCCTTCCTCCCCAGTATCTGTTGTTCGCCTCTTTCTGTCCATGTGTTCTCCTTATTTAGCTCCCTCTCATTAGTGATAACATGTGGTATTCGGTTTTCTGTTCCTGTTTTAATTCACTTAGGATAATGGCTTCCAACTACATCCGTGTTGCTGTAAAGGACATGATTTTTTACTTTGTTACGGCTGTCTAGTATTCCATGGTATACATGTACCACATTTTCTTTATTCAGTCTACCACTGATGGGCATTTAGGTTGATTCCATTTCTTTGCTATTGTGAATAGTGCTGCAATGAACATACAAGCACATGTGTCTTTATGGTAGAATAATTTATATTCATTTGGGTACATATCCGGGAGTGGGATTTCCGGGTCAGATGGTAGTTCTGTTTTTAGTTCTTTGAGGAATAACCACACTGCTTTCCACAATGGTTGAAATAATTTACACTCCCACCAACAGTGTATAAGCATTCCCTTTTCTCTGCAACCTCATCAGCATCTGTTATTTTATATTCATTTAATTCAAAATGTTTTAAAATTCCTCTTGAGACTTCCTTGACCCATGTATTATTTAGAAGTGTGTGACTTAATTTCTAAATACTTGGGGAATGTTTTCCAGCTATCTTTCTGTTACCGGTTTCTGGTTTTATTCTATTGTGATTTGAGAACATACTTTTTATGATTTCTATACTTTTAAGTTCTCTGTGGCCCAAAATGTGGCATTTATTGGTGAATGTTTCTTGTGACCTTGAGAAGAATGTGTATTCTGCTGTTATTGGTAGGAGCATTCTATAGATATCAATGAAATCAAGTTGATGGATCATGCTGGTCAGGTCACATGATCAAGACTGATTTTCTTCCTGTTTGACCTGTCAATTACTAACAGAGGAGTAGTGAGGTCTCCAAATACAATAGTGGATTTGTCTATTTCTCCTTGCACTTCTATTAGTTTTGCCTCATGTACTTTGATGTTCTTTTGTTAGGCACATACACATCAAGGATTGTTATATCTTCTTAGAGAACTGAATAATTTTTCATGATGTAATGCTCCTCTTTGTCCCTCATGATCTTCTTTGTTCTGAAGTCAGCTTTGTCTGAAATTAATATAACTACTTCAGCTTTCTTCTGATCAGTTAAATGTGGCATATCTTTCTCCATCTCTATATTTTTAACCTATTTTTTACTTTATATTTAAAGTGTATTTCTCATAGACAACATAGCTGAGTCCTATTTTTCAAACACTCTTAACAATCTCTGTTTTTACTAAGTGTATTTAAACCAGTCACATTTAAAGTAACTATTGGTACAGTTGGATTAATATCTACTATACTAGAGACTTTCCTATTTATTTCATCTCCTTTGGTTTATTCTCCCTCTTTTACTGCTTTCCTTGGTTTTAACTTAGAATTTTATGTAATTCCATTCTGTTTCAAATATTATTGTATCAATTTTACTTAAAATGTTAGTAGTTGCCCTAGAATTTATAATAAACATTTTTAACTAATATAAGTCTACTTACTTTCAAATCACACCACCACTAATGATTAGTATAGGTGTCTCATAAAGACTATTCTCAATTTCTCTCTATGGCCCCTTGTGACATTGTTGTCATTCACTTCTCTTATCTATATGTTATAATCACCGAATGCATTGTTAGCATTGTTGCTTTGAACACTTTTTTTAGATCAATTACAAATAAGAGAAGTAAATGATTTTACTTTCATTTATTTTTACTTTGACACTTCTGTTTTCTGAATATAGAGTCAACTTTCTAACTTCTTTCTTCCTGAAGAAATCTTAACATTTTTTTCAGGGTATGTCTACTGGTGATTAATTACCTCAGTTTTTGCTTACCTGAGAAAGTATTTCTCCCTCACTTTTAAAAGATAATTTTGCTGGACATGGAATTCTAGATTTTTTTTTCTTTCAGTACTTTAAATATTTACTTCCACTCTGTTTTTACTTGCATGGTTTTCAATGGGAAGTGTACAGTAATTCTTGTCCTTATTCCTCTATAGTCCAGTGTCTTCCTTGCCCCACTTTGGCTTCTTTCAAGATTTTTTCTTTGTGCTTGATTTGCTGCAGGTTGATTATGATATGCCTAGATTTTTTGTTTCTTTGTTTTTCTGGGTTTTTTGGTTTGTTTTGTGTATTTATCCTGGTTGGTGTTCTCTGAGCTTCCTGGATCTGTGGTTTGGTGTCTCATTAATTTTGGAAAATTTGCAGCCATTATTACTTCAGATAATTTTTCTGCCCTGTCCTCAATTTCTTCTGCTTCTGGTATTCCAATTATGGAGATATTATGCCTTTTGAAATTTTCCCACATTTCTTTGGGGTTCTATTCTGTTTGTTTTCTTTTTTTAACTTTAATTCTTGTTTCTTTTTGTACTTCAGTTTAGAATGTTTCTGTTGACTTATTTTCTTCAGGCTCACTGACTCTTTCTTTGGTTGTTTTGAGTGTACTTATAAGCCCATCAGAGACACTTATAATTTCTTTAATAGTGTTTTCTTTTATTTCTCTAGATTATTTATTAGACTTTCTGTCTCTCTGCTTACATTACCCAAATATTCTTGAGTGTTGTTTACTTTTTCTATTAGAGTCTTTAACATATTAAGCATAGCTATTTTCAATTCCATCTGAATTTAAATTCCCAACCCTAATTCCAAAAGCTATGCCATGTCTGAGCCTAATTCAGATAGTTGTTTTGTCTCTTCAGACTATGTTTGCCTTTTATATGCTTTGTAAATTTTTGCTGAAAACTAGACATATTGTGTTGGGTAATAGGAGGCAAATAGGCCTTCAGTGTGAGGATTTATGCTAATCTGGCTAAAAGTTGGATTGTGTTTAAAATTTTCTGTAGCTATAGGTGCAAAAGGACTCACCTTCCTCTAATGTCTTTGTTTTTTCCCCATTTGACTTGGGGCTTCCCTAAGTTCTACTCTTCAAAGAGCATCTATGTCTTGCAGCTCTTTCAGCTATGATCTACTATTATACTGAAGCCCTGTTAATGTGGTGGTGAAGTATGGAGGAGGGGAAGCATTGTAACATCTTACAATATACTCCCATTGTTTAGGCATGTGTCTCTGAGTTGTGAACTTCAGAAAAATATAGCTCTACCCTCTGCTCTCACTTCCCCCTTTTGGTGAGACAGAAAGGTTAGAGGAGACTGGAATGGGAGAAATGCCCTTTCCTCGGCTGAGATAGAGCTGCGGTAATGTCTTTGCCCCTGGACAGTAGTTCTTTGCTAAGAAGCTGGTCATATTGCACAATGATTACTCCTCTTTTCTAGTCAGAACCATGAAGGATCTTCCTCAGATTTTCAATGTGAGAACCTGCTATGGTTGCTATAAATAAAATCCATGATCCCCTTAACACTGCTACATAAGACTGTGGTTTCCTTCATGTTAGCAGACACTTCCTTTTGTTTTCTTTGGTAAAACAAGCTAGCATGTTCAAGGTTCCAATCTGTCAAGATACTGAGAATGACCTCTAGCCATCAGCCCTCAAGGAACTGAATCCTGCCAGCAACTGTATGGATGAGCTTGCAAGTGGATCCTTCCCCAGTTGAACCTTCAGTTAAGACCACAGACTCTGGGCTAACACCTTGATTATAGATTTTTGAAAGAGCATGAAGCAGAGAATCTGGCTAAGCAATGGCCAATTCCTGAACCACAAAAACTGTGAAATAATACTTACATGTTGTTTTGAGCTGCTATTGGGAGTAATTTGGTATGTAGCAATAGATAACTAATATAATATATACCAGAAATAACAAGTTGAAGAAAAAAATTCCATTCACATGTTTAATGAAATTATAAATTTATCCACTCAACAAGATTTTGTTATTGTGTTGCTCCTACAATATGGCACTGAGCCATTTAAAATATAATGGTAAGCTAAAAACAAACACAGTATAAAATTCTAGAAGAATTAGAAATTCTATTTACAACTGGAAATGATGGGATCCATATGCATGAAGTTATCGCATTGAAAAAAAGCCTTACTAAAATATATAAAATATGATTTAAAATAATGTGTTGAAAAGGATGCAATATCCTTGGATAAGCCAGAAATAAGCCTCCTGGGGCAAAAACTTTGGATTCATTGCTGCAACCTCAGCACTCAGACCAGGGCCTGTTTCATGATATGTGCTCAATAAATACTTGTTGAATAAATGAAATGTTAAGACAGCTCTCCTAAATGAATTCATGGGCTTAATGTAATCTTGATACATTAAGGTTTTATTAAAATAATTTTATAATATTAGGCTGGTGCAAAAGTATTTATGGTTTTTGCCATATAAAAGTAATAGCAAAACCTGCAATTACTTTTGCATCAACCTAATAAATTATAATATATAAATAGGTTATAAATATAATAAGAATTATAAAAATAAGTTATAAAAATAATTCAAAAATCATCACAAACGATAAATTTACAACTTATATAAAAAATTGAAAAAGAATTCTTAACATTGTGAAACTGATAATACAAACAGTAGCACTAGCACAGAGAATCAATTGGCAGATCAACTGAATGAAACTCAAAACTCTGAAAACAACCTAATATTTATTTTTTAAAACTTTATGACAAAGAAAACATCACCAATTAATAAAATTAGGCTGCATTTGAGTGTTGAGAAAATTGGATATTTAGGGAAAAGAAATCAAGACAATGTCGGGTTCACACAATACACAAAAATAAATTTCATATGATTTAAATGATTAAGTATTTTAAAATCAAACAAATTAAAATAGATAAATATTCAACTCATCTCAGTATATAAAATGGCATTCTGTTAATAAAATTAATAGGGGAAAATAATTAATATTATGCCTATAAAAATGAAACATTCTTGAACCTCAAATATGATCAAAAAGCAAACTTCAAATTTACACAAATATTTATAACCAAGGTGACAGATAATGATAGATAAACTTCACCTATAAAGATACCTTTGTAAATCAATAAGAAAACACTGTTACTTTTTAAAAATAATTTCAACTTCTATTTCAGATTCAGGGGGAACATTTGCACGTTTGTTACATGGACATATTGTGTGATGCTGAGGTTTGAGGTACGGATGATCCTGAAGCACAGGTAGTGAACATAGTAGGTTTTCAACCCCCCAGTAGTTTCCAGTGTCTATTATTGCCATCTTTATTCCATGAGTACCCAATGTTTAGCTCCCACTTATAAGTGAGAAAACACGGTATTTGGTTTTCTGTTCCTGTGTTAATTTACTTAGGATAATGGCCTCCAGGTGCATCCTGGTTGCTGCAAAGGACATGATTTCATTCTTTCTTATAGCTGTGTAGTATTCCACAGCATATATGGACCACATTTTCTTTAATCCACCATTGATGGGCCCCTAGATTGATTCCATATATCTGCTATTATCTGTGAATAGTGCTGTGATGAATATGTGAGTGCCTGGGTCTTTTTGGTGGAATGATTTATTTTCCTTTGGGTACATATTCAGTAATGAGATTGCTGGGTTGAACGGTAGTTCTGCTTTACGTACTTTGAGAAAGAAATCTCTAAACTGCTTTCCACAGTGGCTGAACTAATTTATATTTCCACCAATAGTATATAAGCATTTCATTTTCTCTTCAGCCTCGCCAGCATCTGCTGTTCTTGGACTTTTTAGTAATTGTCATTCTGACTGGTGTGCAGTGATGTCTCTTAGTGGTTTTTATTTACTTCCTCTGATGGTTAGTGATGCTGAACGTTTTTTATATATTTGTTTGCTGCTTGTATGTCTCCTTTTGAGAAGTGTCTGATCATGTCTTTTCCCACTTTTTAATGGGTTTTTTTTTTTGTTTTTTTTTTTTTTTTGCTGAATTGTTTAAGTTCCTTATAGATTCCGAATATTAGACCTTTGTTGGATGTATTATTTGCAAATATTTTCTTGCATTCTGTAGGTTGTCTGTTTACTATGTTGACAGTTTCTCTTGTTGTGCAGAAGCTCTTTAGTTTAATTAGGTCCCACTTATCAATTTTGTTTTGTGGCAATTGCTTTTGAGGTCTTAGACATTTCTCTCCCAAGGCCCATGTCCGGAATGATGTTTTCTAGGTTTTCATCTGGAATTCTTATCGTTTGAAGTTTTATATTTAAACCTGCAATCTATCTTGAGCTAATTTTTTTATATGGTAAAAGGTAGGTGCTGTTTCATTCTTAAGCCAGCTGTCCCAGCACCATTTATTGAGTAGTGAGTCCTTTCCCCATTGCTTATTTTTGCCAATTTTGTTGAAAATCAAATGGCTGTAGGTGTATGGCTTTATTTCCGGGTTCTGTATTCTGTTTCATTGGCCTATGTGTCTTTTTTTTTTTTTTTTTTTTTCCAATAGCATGCTCTTTGGGTTGCTGTGGCCTTATAGTGTAGCTTGAAGTTGAGTAACGTGATACCTCTGGCTTTTTTATTTTTGCTTAGGATTGCTTTAGCCATTTGGGCTCTTTTTTTGGGGGAGGGGGTTCCATATGAATTTTAGAATTTTTTTTCTAATTATGTGAAAAATTACATTGGTAGTTTGATAAAAATAGCATTGAACCTATGGATTGATTTTGGCAGTATGGCCATTTTAACAATACTGATTCTTCCAGTCTATGAGCATGGAATATTTTTCCATTTATTTGTGTCATCTATGATTCCATTTAGCAGTGTTTTGTAGTTCTCCTTGTAGAGATATATCACCTTATTGGTTACATATATTCTTAGGTATTTTGTTTGTGTGGCTGTTGTAAATGGTATTGTATTCTTGATTTGAGTCTTGGCTTGAATATTACTGGTGTATAGAAATGCTGCTGGCTTTTGTACATTGATTTTATATCCTGAAACTTTACTGAAGTCTTTTATCAGCTCTTGCAAGTTTTGGCAGAGTCTTTAGGGTGAAAACCCTATTATCTTGATTTTAAAATAGGAAAAAGGACACGAACTGATGATTCATAATAGAAAACATGCAAATGGAAAATAAAAAATGATATAATTTAATCTCAGTACTAATAAAAAGCTTTGTTAAATAAGTAGATAGCATTATTTTTATCTTTGAAATTGGCAAAATTAAAGAAAACACACATGGTAATATTTAATGATAACGAGGGTGTAGGAACTGGACATTCATATATGGTTTGTGAGAGTTTAAATTGCCACAAATTTTGGGGGAAATATGAATAATATATATATCAGGATCTTCATAAACTCAAATATCCTTTATTTAAGTTAGGTCAATTCATATGGACAAAGATCTGTATACCACTGTTATGAGAGCAAAACAAACAAATAAAACAATGGCAAAATTACCCTACAATGTAAATTTTCAAGAATATGGAAAGGATTGCATTTTTAATTTTTATGTTGGGATGTTATATAGCTTTTGAAAATTATGTTTTCAATGATGACATAAAAATGCTTACAATACAATGTTAAGATGAGGTGGAGAGGTGGGAGTGGAGGATGGGAAATGGATTTTTTTGTGTGTGTACAGTTACCTCTCCACATTTGTGGGTTCCACATGTGTGTATTCAAGCAGTCAGATCAAAAATATTTGCAAAAACAAATTGTGGACATGTACAGACTTTTTGTGTCATATTCCCTAAACAATAAAGTATAACAACTATTTACATTTACATTTTATTGGGAGTATAAGTAATCTAAAGGTGATTTAACATATACCGGAGGATATGTATAGGTTATATGCAAATACTACACTGTTTGATATAAGGCACTTATATATTCTGAATTTTGGTATTTGCAGGGGTTCCTAGAACCAATCCCCCATGTATACTGAGAGACAACTATACATTCACAAGCACATGCTAACAGATAAAGAAATATATATATATGAAACTGTTTACTGTTTAGTCCAATGTTTCAAATGTCTATAAAATAAATATATATTTTTTAACAATAAATCTTTAAGTGCAAGTTACATTGTTTCTTGTTTTCTGTCAATGTGAATTTGAAAATTTTCTTAATTTTCTATTATCACTTTTTTCTAAATATAGTAGTTTATGTATCATAGCATTAACCTAAGGAAATAACTTACTCCTAGCTCCCATATTCTGGATTCATCAGGTTTCTGTTCGGTTTTTTAGAATTTCTTAGTAACCTTGTTGCATTGACTACCAAATACATGCAGACTTGTGATTGGAAACAGAATATAATCAATGAATCAGAAAATCCACATGCTTGGTGGTAGCAGTAACATTTCATTGCTTTGGATTTGCATTTGTGATCATAACCCTTCATTTAGCTAAGAAGCTACCAGGGCCAGCTGGCACAACCTGTGCATTCACACTGGGCCCCATGCTTGGCTTAGTGCTCTATGATCACCATCTTGAAATTCTTAATTTCTAAGCAGGAGTGTCCCACAAATTATATAGCCAGTCCTGAGTTTTACAAATTAGTTTAAATTCTGGAAGGGGCCAATGGAGAACCAATCCCTAGCTAAGGTGGATTCATGAGCCCATCAGCGTTAAAACATCACAGAGAAATGAAAATCTCTTAATGTTCTTAAAGGCCTCTAGGAAAACACAATTCCACAACCACTTTTGCTAGCCTGTCCTTTATTTCATAATTTCTAGTATTATAAATTTTGCATATGTTTAACACAAACATCTCAGTTCCAAATAAACTTAATTTTTTAAAGTTTTCATCTCTAATAACAGAGAATTATGACACATCAGTTGTAGCACTGAGCACCTACTATGTTTCTACCTCTGTAAAATTTGTTAATATCTACCCTGCTTTTTTAAATAGGATTTTTATAAGGATCAGATGAACATAATATAATTATAAAGCGCTATAGAGAAATAAGCTATTGCTTAAATAACATATCTTTGTTTTCTCATTATAGATGTTTAATAAATTCCTTAAAAATAGTATTGATTATTCTCTTACTTATAAACTATCTTTAATGTTTAATGTTACTGAATATTAGCATACAATTGACACTTAAACAACATGGGGGTTAGGAGTACTGACCTACCTTGCAGTTGAAAATCCACACATAACTTTTGACCCTTCCAAAACTTAACTACTAATAGCCTATTATTGATCAGAAGCCTTATCAATAACATAAACACTTGATTAACACATATTTTATATATGTATAATATACTATATTCCTACAATAAACTAAGCTAGAGAACAAATGATATTAAGAAAATCACAAAGACGAGAAAATATATTTACTATTTATTAAGTGGGAGTGAATCATCACAGAGGTCTTCATTCTCATTGTTTTCACATTGAGTAGGCTGAAGAGGAAGAGGAGACCTTGGTCTTGCTGTCTCAGGGGCAGCATAAGCAGAAGAAAATTCAAGTTTAAGTAAACCCATGCATTTCAAAACCCATGTTATTCAAGGGTCAGCTGTCTTTTAAAGGCTTATTTATGATCCCTTACTCGTAACCACTTCTTCATAACTTACCATTGGCTCATTCTCTTGTAAAGCCTTCCCTGACCCCATGGAAACCTCTGGATTTGAGGAGAATCAGGAAGTGGATGCACCCCTTTTTAGGTTCTTCCACTCATGGTATTTGGGGCTTTTGTTATGATCCCAAAGAAAATCTGACTCCCAGGTCCTGGGGTTGTGGAGTTGTATGGGTGCTATTCTTTCTTTGAACTGATATTTCAAAAATTTTGTCCCATGTATTCTAACTTTCTTACTAATTTTATTTAAAGAGGAGTAATGGTTCATAGTTTTTAAGGGGGACACAGAAAGATTAAATGAAGGAAATCACAAGCTGCTCAGAACGCCAAAGGAATTGAGAGAAGCAGTTCCTAAAGCTGAAGTAGTAAAACTCAACAACTTGCTAAAACATTCCATATGAGGGGAAAAAAAAAATTTAAGACCAAGGAATTAGTGTGCTGCCAGCATAGAGATTATTTGTTAGCACTTGGCTAGCACTAAGTTTTATGTATTGCTAACAAGATGCTGATAACATGGTTTCTGAAAGATTTTCAATGCTTGGCAAATACGTTTATTCCTTAGTGTTTTATACTCAACATTTTCAGAAAAATCTAGGTTTCTTAAACATATATCCCAGTTATTTTAGCGTTATGCATAGAGCCCTGAATTTTCACTATTTAATACACATTCCAAAGACTATCCATATTTGGCCCATACAGATAAATGCAAACAATAGGATGGATGTTTCCATCCTGTGCTGTAAATCCTCCAGCTTAACATTTTGAGTCTGGACAATAGATATAGCTGAAAAAAGATTTGGATCCAAATTGTCTAGCTTACATTCCCATAGTTGATATAGCAATGCTATCAGCTGAGGAGTTTGAAGAGCCTAAAAGATTCTCTTCCTCCTTCCTTCAGAAATGGTGCTGAAGAATGAGACCTAAGAACCTAATTTGCTTGCATATTTGTACCCCATCCTTTGAATCAGCCTGTAAGCTAAGCAGCTGCTCTGCAGGCTTCTCTGTTTCTCTGAGAAGAATCTTGCTCTGATTTCTTGGAGAGGGGGTTGCTTCTTAGCCAAACCTGCCAATCATGTTGAATCTTGAAGCGATCAATGAGGCAAATTCAGATAAAGAGAACCCAACAACTGCCAAGACTGATCGGACACCTACTGCTAAATGTTGGAGATTCAAAGATGAATAAGATGATTCCTGTCTTTAAGGAACTCACCATCGGAGGGGAAGAAAATATGTAAAGAATTACAGTAAAATTTAAAAATGCTACACACAGTTCCTCATCTTGAACTGAATACACACTCCTCATACTCTCAAACCAATTGTCACATACCTTCTTTTGCTTACACAAGCATCTCTAGAACTTGTGAAGTAATACAATCTTTGAAAAATATTTATATAATCCTCCACATCTTTCACATGAAGAAAATGATGATCATTTTCAGTACCTACCTCTTATGTGTTGACAAAAACCAGCAGAGTTCTCACAAGTATTTCTGGATTTATGTTTAGGTTTGACTAATTAATTGAGCAGGAGAAAGAAGGATTAGTCACTATATAGTTATACAATTCATCAGCAATTTCAGGGCTCCATTAGCCAACACTGGAACATTCCACCGGCACGATCTTCATGAGGATATTGAACAGGTTTTATTCTGTGATTTGTTTTGGAATGAAATTCTACTCACCCTTCTTTGTGAATGAATGCTGTTCAACACAATTTAAATATTTAAAAACAGCATTGAGGGTGTGAGCTGTTGTTTAAGGATAAACTGTCATGCTTCAGCCTAAAGCACATTTTCTCAGTGGTCATTATTCTATACCTAGTTGATTAGAAGCCAAGGAGTTTGTCATCACTGGTAGCCACCTACCCATCATGATGGAAAAAGCATCATCCTTTCGGTTGTAGCTGGCATGAGGACATATATGTATCACATGGGGAACCTGCAAATTCTCTAATGCAGATTGCAGCTGAGAATGCAGAAATGTGAGCTTAGACTACAAGAACAGTGGAAGTCTTTTCTGAACACCTGTTTGTTATTGAGACAGCAATTACTGTATAGTTGAGAGGGAAACCAGGGAAGACACCCCAAACGACTGCAGCTTGAATTTTTAAGCTGAGCCTATATAAGCATATGCATTTTAGAATTGATGCTTCTTATATCTCCAGTGTTGATGTTTCCTTCATTGATGGTCTAGAGGACATTTAGGAATCTCTGTCAGCAAAACAGATCCTTTAAAATTTCTTAGGCTAAAGATAGTCTCTTAAGTATGAATAGGGGGTTGTAAGCTTTGATTATGCTTTGCTTTATCTGCGAAAAATCCTGGGAATGAATAGAGTATTGTGGTCAGTTTAGTCCCATGCCATTCATGGTCCAAAGGCAAAAATGTAGTGTTGTCACATTTGAAAAGTGGCATATGTTTTCCTGGTAATTACATCTTATATGTTTACTATTCAAAAAATGCAGGTGTGGGTTTTTGAACAGTGTCCAATGACAATGTGCCTGACTGGCAGCAGTTCCTAAGTGAGTCATGTTTCACTGTCTGTCGTTTTTTATAACTGTTTTCACCACTAATTTGGTTCTCTGATGCAGTGTGCAATTAGTTCTATTATGAAAGCAGCTGTCTTCAGTTTTACAATGGCACTTTCCCCTTTGGCTTGCACAGAGCTTGTTGTGGTTCTGCTGATGTGATGATAGGAGTTGTAAAGTGGTACCTAGATGAGCCGCACTGGGCCCGGATCTTCCCTGTACACAGGATTCTTGCTTACTCACTGCTACTCTACTGCTGTTTCTCCCAGCTCAGTTAAAAAGAGGGTCACAAATTAAGTTGCCCCTTGTAAGACGTGTACTGTAAAGATTGGTGACCAGGCCATTTGTACCACTGGAATCCTGTTGTTTATAAAAATTATATTTGAAAATGATGTATTAGGTCAAAGTTGAGATGGGGAGGTACACTGGGCAAAAAATAAAAAAAGGATTGTTGTGTTTGGTTCACTTTCAAACATGAGGTATGATATTTAAGATTCCAAATGAAGCCTGAATGCAGCAAATGCCAGTATATGAACAATAAAAAAATTGAACATAATGTTTGTAGTTAGTTATAATATGCTTTGGATTTTCCTGCTCTCTGAAAGAACATCCTATTTTCACAGGAGTTTCCATGATTTTCGATTCTTAATCCCAAGTCTCTTCTGACATCCAGAATTCTCCAGGAGACCTAGAGCAATGACCATTCTGAGCCCATCTTTCCTAAGAGGAGCCAATAGTTTGAGCTTTCCCTTACAAGCATAATTCCCTATTAATATCTTTAGAACATTGCTACTCAAAGTATGGTCCCCAGACTTGGAGTAACACATCATCTGCAAGCCTGTTAGAAAACAGAATCTATGGCCCCACCCCAGGCCTACTGAATCAGAATCTGTATTTTAACAAAATCCCCAGGAAATCTATATGTATACTAAATTCTGAGAAACCCTACTTTAGAACTGTATTATTTGCTCCCAAAGCCACAGCTATGTCTGAGAACCTGACTGCTACTTATTAGTGATTGTTAATGAAAATCACTGAATTTTACTGAATTTAGAGAACTTGTGATCAACCGAACTATCTGGTTCTTTTAGTTTTTTTAATTGTCCTCTTCTCCCTTTTTAAAATATAAACTCTTTGAGCACAGGTACTTTCCCCGTTTTGCCCATTAAAGTATCTGTAGCGAGTAGAAGAGTGCCTACCGCATATTTAGCAATCAACAAATATTTGTTGAGCTGAACAAGTGAACAAATGACTCATTATAAATAAAATATGTGCTCAGCAACAGAAGCAGATCAAATTCCATAATCCCATGGGGTTTACTCAGAACCTTAGCACATCAGTGCCTGGGGCAAGAGGTGAGGCAGAAATTGAGACAGGGAGCGCATGAGTTCAGAGCTCGTACTGTATTGATAGTCACAGAGGACACCTGGGCTGTCTAGGGAAGAAGTGGCAGCTCTGAAATTTTTTCCCCTGATATTTGGCAAGTGGCAGGGTTATGAGTCTTGCTGGCAAGAGGTAATCCACTCCAGTTGAATCAAAATCTTCCTTGAGAATACTATCCCACATATGCTGTTGGAAAAGCAGTAAAAGGGGTCCAGGAACATGAGGGTTGGTAGAGTGACCAAATCTTTCTAGTTTGCCTGGGACTGTCCGAATTTTAGGACTGGTAGTCTCACATCTCAAGAAGCCCCTCAGTCCCCGGCAAACTGAGGTGGTTTCCCTACTTGAGTGTTTGCCATAGCACCATGTCTGCTGAGAGCCCCTGCCAAAAAGGCGGAGGACTTGGGGCCTTTGACAGACATTTAGATTTTTAGGGCACTTTCGTGATCCAATCAAGAATGTCCAATAACAGAAACTTACCTTGAGGCAGATCTCTTATGTTCATCCAGTGGCTTAAATCCCACTAATTTCATAAAAGCGTTCTTTAATTTTGTCTTTAGATTAATATGAGCAGGGACAGACTTTTTCCACACAAGAGGATGGCTCACTTAAAAGCACCATCTTACAAATCTTAGTTTTGTACTCTAAAGGTGCTAATATTTGAATTGTCTTGGAGGTACACTGCTCTAGGACCTGAGCCATACCTTGTCAGACATGCTTTTACACATTAGAGCCACATGGGTTATTGCCTTAAGTATTTCCAGATATAATTTGACTGCCATTTCCAAATGTTCTTATTTAGTTCTTTTTTTCCCTAAAAACAAATAAAAAGATGGACAGGGTGGGGTGGGATTGTGGCATTATAAAACCAGGTCCAGATTGTTACATTGTAAAGTGCTTTAGTTTGATGAGAATGCTTTTACCTATGCACAATAGCATTTCGGCTATGTAACTAAATGGTATTACTTAATGGTTTAATTTATAAATAGAGTTTCACACTTTTGCCATGAAGTTACTGTCATGGTGGTCAGTGGTCACTATTTAAAGAACATGGGATTGTTGGAAGCTGGACTTTCTTGAATTAAAAATTAGGTTTTTATTAATATAAATGTCTAGGGTTTAAATATTTTAATTTATTCATTAAAATAAGTTCAGCAAGATAGTATAGAAAGTTTGAGAAATAGTGAGGGAAAGTCGTTTAGTACAACTGTTCTATTACAACTGTTGTAATACAATTCTTTAAAATACTATTGTCTCATAGAGTTAATACAGAAAACACTGAATATGATACATGGTTATAATTGAAAAAGGCTAAACAAAGCTATTCCCCAGACTCATGTTTAATTGTTTAACATACCTGAGTGACTTTAGAATAGCTAAGTACTATATTACTGAGCACTTGATAATGGCAAATGCAATTACCAACTGAAGTGCATTAATATTTTCTGAACTGCATTTATTATTTTGATTGCAAAATCGTTTATGATTCCATTCATAAAGCATGATTTTATTATTTGCACTCATCTGTTGGACACTCTTGTAGGCTGTGTTTTCTTGTATTTACAGCAATATTCTTAACTGTGATATTGCAATGTACTGGTATGTCAGAATCAATTATGAAGTGTGTTGAAAGAAGTTATAACTAGCGATAAGAAAATAGTCCAAAATTTACAAATTATTTGCTTTTAAAAATAAATTAGAGTAGCTCCAGATTATCCAAGTCTTTTTATTATGCTGTGCTTCCTTGAGTGAGAGGAAAAAGGAAAGGGTTTAAGTTAGTAAGGCAGGATCAGCTATGCCCTGCCTTCTCTGCTTTTGTACAGCAGTCTGAGGAGTGTGACACACGGGAAAGTAGAAAAATATTAAGAATGATTGGCCTATGCGATCAAAAAGGAAGAATCAGGATGCAGGAAAATTAGGATATTGTCTACAAAATTCAGTTCATTCCTGTTTTGAAGTGTAATGGAAAGAAGAAACCCTTGCACTAATATTCATTCAGAAACAGGTATTAAGCATTCAACAGATACTATGTGCATCAGTTCAGGTCCTCTGAGAAACACTCACCAAGAAGAGATAGACATGCAAGAGATTTATTTGAGGAAATGCTTATGAAGAATAAAAGGAAAGGAAGTAGGAATATACAGGAGAGCACTTAAGACAATGCAGGTCTGACACACATGAAAGGAGAGAGGGAAGAGGGTTAGATAGGAAAGACTTTGACAACAGTACAGTTTTGAGGAAGTTTTGGCCACGTTTACCAAAATTCATTGAGCATAATAGGTTGAATGGTGCACCCTTCCACCCATTCCCCTAAAGATATGTTCACCCGAGACCTTGAATGTGACCTTATTTGGAAAAGGGCTTTGCAGATATAATTAAGGTTCTCAAGACAAGATAATTCTGTATTATCCAGGTGGGCCCTAAATCAAATGATAAGTGTCTTTATAAGAAGACACAGAGGCCGGGTGCAGTGGCTCATACTTGTAATCCCAGCACTTTGGGAGGCCAAGGCTGGTGGATCACTTGAGGTCAGGAGTTCAAGACCAGCCTGGCCAACATGGTGAATGAAACCCTATCTCTACTAAAAAATACAAAAATTAGCCAGGCATGGTGGTGTGCACCTGGAGTCCCAGCCATTCAGGAGGCCGAGGCAAGAGAATTGCTTGAAACTGGGAGGCGGAGGTTGCAGTGAGCCAAGATAGCACCACTACACTCTAGCCTGAGCAAGAGGAGTGAGACTCTGTCTCAAAAAAAAAAAAAAAAAAGAAAAGAAAAAAAAGAATTACATACACACAGAGGTCATGTGAAGACAGAGGTAGATGTTGCAGTTATAAGCTAAGGATCAACAAGGACTGCTGGCAGCCACCAGAAACTAGGAAAGAAGCATGACATGGATTCTCCCCTAGAGCCTCTGGAAGGAACCAGCCCTGCCAACACATTTATTTCAGACTTCTGGCCCCAAAGCTGTGTGATAGACTATATTTCTGTTGTTTTACGCCACCTAATATGCAGTAATTTGTTATGGCAGTCACAAGAAGCTAGTACACAGAGTTGAGGTTGCCCCTCGCAGGAGTCTCACATCCCACAGGAATGGTCCAGTGCCAGCACTCTGTCATGTTCGTCATTAGTGGGGAGTAGCCCAGGGGAAGCGTGGCCTCACCATGAAGGTGGTAGTACATTCAGAGGGGTGGGAGCTGGGGCTACCATTTAACTACACTTCCTACAGGAGTTTCTCTCTTTTTTTTATTATACTTTAAGTTTTAGGGTACATGTGCACATTGTGCAGGTTAGTTACATATGTATACATGTGCCATGCTGGTGCGCTGCACCCACTAACTCGTCATCTAGCATTAGGTATATCTCCCAGTGCTATCCCTCCCCCTCCCACCACCCCACAACAGTCCCCAGAGTGTGATGTTCCCCTTCCTGTGTCCATGTGATCTCATTGTTCAATTCCCACCTATGAGTGAGAATATGCGGTGTTTGGTTTTTTGTTCTTGCGATAGTTTACTGAGAATGATGATTTCCAATTTCATCCATGTCCCTACAAAGGATATGAACTCATCATATTTTATGGCTGCATAGTATTCCATGGTGTATATGTGCCACATTTTCTTAATCCAGTCTATCATTGTTGGACATTTGGGTTGGTTCCAAGTCTTTGCTATTGTGAATAATGCCGCAATAAACATACGTGTGCATGTGTCTTTATAGCAGCATGATTTATAGTCCTTTGGGTATATACCCAGTAATGGGATGGCTGGGTCAAATGGTATTTATTTCCAGTTCTAGATCCCTGAGGAATCGCCACACTGACTTCCACAATGGTTGAACTAGTTTACAGTCCCACCAACAGTATAAAAGTGTTCCTATTTCTCCACATCCTCTCCAGCACCTGTTGTTTCCTGACTTTTTAATGATTGCCATTCTAACTGGTGTGAGATGGTATCTCATTGTGGTTTTGATTTGCATTTCTCTGATGGCCAGTGATGATGAGCATTTTTTCATGTGTCTTTTGGCTGCATAAATGTCTTCTTTTGAGAAGTGTCTGTTCATGTCCTTCACCCACTTTTTGATGGGGTTGTTTGTTTTTTTCTTGTAAATTTGTTTGAGTTCATTGTAGATTCTGGATATTAGCCCTTGTCAGATGAGTAGGTTGCGAAAATTTTCTCCTATTTTGTAGGTTGCCTGTTCACTCTGATGGTAGTTTCTTTTGCTGTGCAGAAGCTCTTTAGTTTAATTAGATCCCATTTGTCAATTTTGTCTTTTGTTGCCATTGCTTTTGGTGTTTTAGACATGAAGTCCTTGCCCATGCCTATGTCCTGAATGGTAATGCGTAGGTTTTCTTCTAGGGTTTTTATGGTTTTAGGTCTAACATTTAAGTCTTTAATCCATCTTGAATTGATTTTTGTATAAGGTGTAAGGAAGGGATCCAGTTTCAGCTTTCTACATATGGCTAGCCAGTTTTCCCAGCACCATTTATTAAATAGGGAATCCTTTCCCCATTGCTTGTTTTTCTCAGGTTTGTCAAAGATCAGATAGTTGTAGATATGCAGCATTATTTCTGAGGGCTCTGTTCTGTTCCATTGATCTATATCTCTGTTTTGGTACCAGTACCATGCTGTTTTGGTGACTGTAGCCTTGTAGTATAGTTTGAAGTCGGGTAGTGTGATGCCTCCAGCTTTGTTCTTTTGGCTTAGGATTGACTTGGTGATGCAGGCTCTTTTTTGGTTCCATATGAACTTTAAAGTAGTTTTTTCCAATTCTGTGAAGAAAGTCATTGGTAGCTTGATGGGGATGACATTGAATCTGTAAATTACCTTGGGCAGTATGGCCATTTTCACGATATTGATTCTTCCTACCCATGAGCATGGAATGTTCTTCCACTTGTTTGTATCCTCTTTTATTTCATTAAGCAGTGGTTTGTAGTTCTCCTTGAAGAGGTCCTTCACATCCCTTGTAAGTTGGATTCCTAGGTATTTTATTCTCTTTGAAGCAATTGTGAATGGGAGTTCACTCATGATTTGGTTCTCTGTTTGTCTGTTGTTGGTGTATAAGAATGCTTGTGATTTTTGTACATTGATTTTGTATCCTGAGACTTTGCTGAATTTGCTTATCAGCTTAAGGAGATTTTGGGCTGAGACAATGGGGTTTTCTAGATATACAATCATGTCGTCTGCAAACAGGGACAATTTGACTTCCTCTTTTCCTCATTGAATACCCTTTATTTCCTTCTCCTGCCTAATTGCCCTGGCCAGAACTTCCAACACTATGTTGAATAGGAGTGGTGAGAGAGGGCATCCCTGTCTTGTGCCAGTTTTCAAAGGGAATGCTTCCAGTTTTTGCCCATTCAGTATGATATTGGCTGTGGGTTTGTCATAGATAGCGCTTATTATTTTGAAATACATCCCATCAATACCTAATTTATTGAGAGTTTTTAGCATGAAGGGTTGTTGTATTTTGTCAAAGGCTTTTTCTGCATCTATTGAGATAATCATGTGGTTTTTGTCTTTGGCTCTGTTTATATGCTGGATTACATTTATTGATTTGCGTATATTGAACCAGCCTTGCATCCCAGGGATGAAGCCCACTTGATCATGGTGGATAAGCTTTTTGATGTGCTGCTGGATTCATTTTGCCAGTATTTTATTGAGGATTTCTGCATCAATGTTAATCAAGGATATTGGTCTAACATTCTCTTTTTTTGTTGTGTCTCTGCCCGGCTTTGGTATCAGAATGATGCTGGCCTCATAAAATGAGTTAGGGAGGATTCCCTCTTTTTCTATTGATTGGAATAGTTTCAGAAGGAATGGTACCAGTTCCTCCTTGTACCTCTGGTAGAATTCGGCTGTGAATCTATCTGGTCCTAGACTCTTTTTGGTTGGTAAGCTATTGATTATTGCCACAATTTCAGCTCCTGTTTATTGGTCTATTCAGAGATTCAACTTTTTCCTGGTTTAGTCTTGGGAGAGTGCATGTGTCCAGAAATTTATCCTTTTCTTCTAGATTTTCTGGTTTATTTGCGTAGAGGTGTTTGTAGTATTATCTTATGGTAGTTTGTATTTCTGTGGGATTGGTGGTGATATCCCCTTTATCATTTTTTATTGCGTCTATTTGATTCTTCTCTCTTTTCTTCTTTATTAGTCTTGCTAGCGATCTATCAATTTTGTTGATCCTTTCAAAAAACCAGCTCCTGGATTCATTAATTTTTTGAAGGGTTTTTGTGTCTCTATTTCCTTCAGTTCTGCTCTTAGTTATTTCTTGCCTTCTGCTATCTTTTGAATGTGTTTGCCCTTGCTTTTCTAGTTCCTTTAATTGTGATGTTAGGGTGTCAATTTGGATCTTTCCTGCTTTCTCTTGTGGGCATTTAGTGCTGTAAATTTCCCTCTACACACTGTTTGAATGTGTCCCAGAGATTCTGGTATGTTGTGTCTTTGTTCTCGTTGGTTTCAAAGAACATCTTTATTTCTGCCTTCATTTCGTTATGTACCCAGTAGTCATTCAGGAGCAGGTTGTTCAGTTTCCATGTAGTTGAGCGGTTTTGAGTGAGATTCTTAATCCTGAGTTATAGTTTGATTGCACTGTGGTCTGAGAGATAGTTTGTTATAATTTCTGTTCTTTTACATTTGCTGAGGAGAGCTTTACTTCCAAGTATGTGGTCAATTTTGGAATAGGTGTGGTGCGGTGCTGAAAAAAATGTATATTCTGTTGATTTGGGGTGGAGAGTTCTGTAGATGTCTATTAGGTCCACTTGGTGCAGAGCTGAGTTCAATTCCTGGGTATCCTTGTTGACTTTCTGTCTCGTTGATCTGTCTAATGTTGACAGTGGGGTGTTAAAGTCTCCCATTATTAACGTGTGGGAGTCTAAGTCTCTTTGTAGGTCACTCAGGACTTGCTTTATGAATCTGGGTGCTCCTGTATTGGGTGCATATATATTTAGGATAGTTAGCTCTTCTTGTTGAATTGATCCCTTTACCATTATGTAATGGCCTTCTTTGTCTTTTTTGATCTTTGCTGGTTTAAAGTCTGTTTTATCAGAGACTAGGATTGCAACCCCTGCCTTTTTTTGTTTTCCATTTGCTTGGTAGATCTTCCTCCATCCTTTTATTTTGAGCCTATGGGTGTCGCTGCACGTGAGATGGGTTTCCTGAATACAGCACACTGATGGGTCTTGACTCTTTATCCAGTTTGCCAGTCTGTGTCTTTTAATTGGAGCATTTAGTCCATTTACATTTAAAGTTAATATTGTTATGTGTGAATTTGATCCAGTCATTATGATGTTAGCTGGTTATTTTGCTCGTTAGTTGATGCAGTTTCTTCCTAGTCTCAATGGTCTTTACATTTTGGCATGATTTTGCAGCGGCTGGTACCGGTTGTTCCTTTCCATGTTTAGCGCTTCCTTCAGGAGCTCTTGTAAGGCAGGCCTGGTGGTGACAAAATTTCTTAGCATTTGCTTGTCTATAAAGTATTTTATTTCTCCTTCGCTTATGAAGCTTAGTTTGGCTGGATATGAAATTCTGGGTTGAAAATTCTTTTCTTTAAGAATGTTGAATATTGGCCCCCACTCTCTTCTGTCTTCTAGGGTTTCTGCCGAGAAATCCGCTGTTAGTCTGATGGGCTTCCCTTTGAGGGTAACCCGACCTTTCTCTCTGGCTGCCCTTAACATTTTTTCCTTCATTTCAACTTTGGTGCATCTGACAATTATGTGTCTTGGAGTCGCTCTTCTCGAGGAGTATCTTTGTGGTGTTCTCTGTATTTCCTGAATCTGAATGTTGGCCTGCCTTGCTAGATTGGGGAAGTTCTCCTGGATAATATCCTGCAGAGTGTTTTCCAACTTGGTTCCATTCTCCCCATCACTTTCAGGTACACCAATCAGACGTAGATTTGGTCTTTTCACATAGTCCCATATTTCTTGGAGGCTTTGCTCATTTCTTTTTATTCTTTTTTCTCTAAACTTCCCTTCTCGCTTCATTTCATTCATTTCATCTTCCATTGCTGATACCCTTTCTTCCAGTTGATCACATCGGCTCCCGAGGCTTCTGCATTCTTCACGTAGTTCTCGAGCCTTGGTTTTCAGCTCCATCAGCTCCTTTAAGCACTTCTCTGTATTGGTTATTCTAGTTATACATTCTTCTACATTTTTTTCAAAGTTTTCAACTTCTTTTCCTTTGGTTTGAACGTCCTCCCGTAGCTCAGAGTAATTTGATCGTCTGAAGCCTTCTTCTCTCAGCTCGTCAAAGTCATTCTCTATCCAGCTTTGTTCCGTTGCTGGTGAGGAACTGCGTTCCTTTGGAGGAGGAGAAGCGCTCTGCTTTTTAGAGTTTCCAGTTTTTCTGCTCTGTTTTTTCCCCATCGTTGTGGTTTTATCTACTTTTGGTCTTTGATGATGGTGATGTACAGATGGGTTTTTGGTGTGGATGTCCTTTCTGTTTGTTAGTTTTCCTTCTAACAGACAGGACCCTCAGCTGCAGGTCTGTTGGAATACCCTGCCGTGTGAGGTGTCAGTGTGCCCCTGCTGGGGGGTGCCTCCCAGTTAGGCTGCTCGGGGGTCAGGGGTCAGGGACCCACTTGAGGAGGCAGTCTGCCCGTTCTCGTATTTCCAGCTGCGTGCTGGGAGAACCACTGCTCTCTTCAAAGCTGTCAGACAGGGACATTTAAGTCTGCAGAGGTTACTGCTGTCTTTTTGTTTGTCTGTGCCCTGCCCCCAGAGGTGGAGCCTACAGAGGCAGGCAGGCCTCCTTCAGCTGTGGTGGGCTCCACCCAGTTGGAGCTTCCCGGCTGCTTTGTTTACCTAATCAAGCCTAGGCAATGGCGGGCGCCCTTCCCCCAGCCTCGCTGCCGCCTTGCAGTTTGATCTCAGACTGCTGTGCTAGCAATCAGCCAGGCTCCGTGGGCGTAGGACCCTCCGAGCCAGGTGTGGGATATAATCTCGTGGTGAGCCGTTTTTTAAGGCCGTTGGAAAAGGGCAGTATTCGGGTGGGAGTGACCCGATTTTCCAGGTGCTGTCCATCACCCCTTTCTTTGACTCAGGGAACTCCCTGACCCCTTGCGCTTCCCAAGTGAGGCAATGCCTCGCCCTGCTTCGGCTCGCACACGGTGCGCACACCCACTGACCTGCGCCCACTGTCTGGCACTCCCTAGTGAGATGAACCCGGTACCTCAGATGGAAATGCAGAAATCACCCATCTTCTGCGTCGCTCACGCTGGGAGCTGTAGACTGGAGCTGTTCCTATTCGGCCATCTTGGCTCCTCCCCCAGGAGTTTCTCTTGAAGGAGACCAGCTGATGCATGTCCATGGCTGCCACATTATGAAACAGAAAAGAAGCAAAGGGCAGAGAATACAGTCTTTGCCTTCCAGAAGTTTAGTTGGGTAAACCAATGGGTGTTACACATGTGAGAATACAAGCATGCATGTGACGGTGCCGGATTACGATATGCAAAGATTCCGAGGGAGTCCAAAACCATCAAAAGGTCAACCTGGGATGAGTTTAATCAGCTGAGCAAAGTAGTAAACTTAGATCAGTGCACAGAAGGTGGAACAAATGGAATGGGTACAGGCAGACAGGGGAGGAGCTGCAGTAAAGTTAAAGAAGAGAATGAAGAGCATGGCCTAGTTGTTTCTTAAAGAGCTGTCTACGAAGACAGAAAAGAAGCAAGGAGAGAGGGAGTTCACAAGGCAGAGAATAAATATGAAGTGAAAAGAGGGTAGAAACATGAAAGAGGCAAGAAGGTCTTCGTAAACTGCTCATTTGTTTATTTTGTTTAAAAAAGACATCTGAGTAACTTCAGACTCAGACCATGATCTGCATGGCAAGAATCCAGGAAGCCTTAGTCTGTTGGAATGAAAAACATTTCATCAGGATCCAATAAATTATTGCATTTATTAAAGAATAAAAAAGGAGCATGGTATTTGGAGTTGGTAGACCCTTGCAGCCCTGCTTATGGACTAATATTGGGTAAGTCACTTAAATTCTGAGTTAGATTTTCATATGTTAAATGGATATAATAAAATCTTTATGTCAGAGTTATTAAGAGGATTAAATGAGCCAGAATAGTTAATGGGCAGTGTAAATTCTAATGTGATCCACAGAGCTAGCTACTATGCTTTAGGAATGTGAGCCACAGTACCAGTTACTATGCTTTAGGGATACACACGTTAACATCTAAATTTGAGTTAAACAGACTTAGGTATCCATAATCCCATCACTCAAAAACAATTACTGTAACTTTTTAGTATATAAATTTTTTCATATTTTTCCCATTTCTATCTAGAGATATATATTTGCATATTTTTCCTGTCTGTGCCTTTACTCCCACCCCCTAAACAAATGAATTATTTTTTGAGACAAGGCCTCACTCTGTGGCCCAGGCTGGAGTGCAGTGGCACAATCTCGGCTATTCCAACCTCAATCTCCCAGGCTCGGTTGATTCTCCCACCTCAGCCTCCCAGGTAGCTGGGAATACAGGCATACACCACCACACCTGGCTAATTTTTTGTATTTTTGGTAGAGATGGGGTTTCACCATGTTGCCCAGGCTGGTCTTGAAATCCAGAGATCAAGCGACCCACCCACCCAAAGTGCTGGAATTATAGGTGTCAGTCACTGCACCTGGCCCAAATGAATTATTAAAACATGTTTTGTTTTTCTCTCTAAATGGCGTATTGTGGACAATCTTTTGTGTTAGTAAATAAAGATCTATATAGCACTTTTAAAGGCTACATGTTGTAGAGAGTACTAGAGCTCACCCATATCTTGTTATCTTCTTCCTGGGCACAGAGAAGGATACACAACCTAGTTCCCTTAAGTTAGGCAGGGCCAAATAACTAGCTCTGGCCAATTAGCTCTAAATGAAAATGTCACTTATAAGTGGAGGCAGTGACAAGCATGTCACTTATAAATGGAGGCAGTGACAAGCCTTTGCAAGTCCTGCTGCAGTGGCATTATACAGAAATGCTGGAGCTATGGGATAGAAACACCTTGAAGAAGGTGCTGCCTTGAGGAGGTCACCAGACACTCAATAGAAAAACCCAAAAAACTTTTAGATGTAAAACCTCCATGACTTCAGAATTTGTTTGTTACAGCAGCATAATCTAGCTTATTCTGAATAATACACTGGACAATAATCCACATGTGGCACGTAGGTTGCTTCAGATTCCTATTATAAATAGTTCCGCAATGAGCATCTTTATTTTTTTCAAATATATCTGATTATTTATTTCCTTTGAATAAGTTCCTGGAAATAGAATATCTGGGTCAAAAGGTATACACACTTTAACTTCTGATACATATTGATTAATTGCTCCTTCTCAGAGTTTGCACTAAAGTTGCAAAGTCACCCAGAGTATATTAGAGTACCATTTATTATACGTGTTTGACAAAATGATACATTTTAATCAACCAAATTTTTAAAAATAAATATGCCTTAAATGCTAATGAGTTTTGCTTTTTTCATAAATTTATTGGCCATCTAAATTTCTTTAGTAAAGTACAATTAATGTCTTTTAGTATACTTTTCTGTTTGGCTTTTTGTTTTATAGTACCAACAGTACTTGATAGGATAAGAATATCAACTCTTTGTTGGCCTATATATTCCAAATACGTTTTTTACATGTTGTCTTTCAATCTCACTTTTAATATTTTTGTCATATGATAACCACTTTTTATATAGTTAAAATTAAGAGTTTCTTTTATGGTTTCTGGTTTTGGTGTTCATATCAGCTTTCTAATATTTTCTGTCTCAAGTTTTTTTTTTAATTGTATTTTAATCATGTGCTTATAGGATTTTGCTTCTTATATTTAAATTGTTAACCCCTATGGCAGTTGTGTGGTAGGGCTCCTATATCAAATATGTTGAATAATTTATCATTTTCCATTTGATTTTAAATAACACCCTATCATATAATAAATTCCCATATATATATTTAGTATTTGTGCACTCCTTATTCAGTTGATCTAGCTGCTGTTCCTAAGCCAGTACGTGCTGTTTAATTTAATTTTAATTTTTTAGAGACAGGGTCTTGCTATATTGCCAAGGATAGCCTCAAACTTCTGGGCTCAAGCCATCCTTCTACCTCAGTCTCCCCAGTAGCTGAGACTTCACGTGTGTGCCACTGTGCCTGGCTCTGCTGGTTTATTTACTGTGGGTGTCAATTTTATTAAACTTACTGCAAACCCCTCTTACCATTACTCTTTTTTAAGAAAATTAGAACTTTCATAGCTATATTTTTATATTATTTCAAGATAATTAGAATAATTTTGCAATGTTCCACATGACAAAATATTTATTGTTTCAAATGAAATCTGCAGAACTACTGCAGTTGAAGCAATGGAAAAGGGGGTGAGGGTTGAAATGCCACCTACTTCTCCACCAGCTGGATCTCTGGGACCACTTGTCAGGAACAATTCAGGGAACTGCTGCTCCAGAAATTCCTCCTGCTCTAATGGACATCCTGTCCCATCAGCAAAGAAACAGAGGCTTATGGTCATTTTTCTAGACTGATGCCCTGGTCCCCTCACAAAATGGCAGAGGCTCTCAAACCTTCGACGCCTATAACCTGCTGCCGCTTCTCACTGTAGTCACTTTGGCTGCAGGTGCTGAGCATTATGAATTGATCACCCCTACCCTTGTATCTGCTTTTCAGCTGACCTAAATAATATCTTCATTGCCTCAGTACTTGAACATCGGTTCCATATTTAAATATTTTCACTTAACAGTAGCTTTGGAATGATTTAAATAACTACTCATTTCTATACTCAGCTGAAGGGAATATAAAATGTGACCCATTAAAGATGCGTTATAGATGGAGAGGTGACAAATATGTGGAGACTTACTTTCCCTGGGTAAAAGGAGAAAGCTCTGTGGTGGCCCCAATATCTCAAGTTACTTTTTTGTCCTTAACACCTAGGTGGAAAAGTCAGGAATCCACCCTTCTAACTATTATTATATATCTAGAGTATTTGTGGTATTATTATTATTATGCACTAAAAGGGATAGAACACTTACCTTTGGTTTCTTTTTACAACTGTAGCACAGAATAAGGAAGGCCTGGTTATTCACTGTTTAGTGAACACACATTCTAGGTCTGGTAATGATCAAATGTGGATCTAATTATTCCACTAATTATAATTCCAATGACCACATGTAATTCATTTTGTCGAGTTAAAGTTTAGAGAGAGTTAAATGGAAAGCCATCTTTCTCTTGCCATAATGACCTTAAAATACATACAGTGTACATTAAAAAATCATATTAATTTGTTAAAACAAGGCAATGGAACATGTGTCTTAATGAGAAGGTTGACTAACCTTTGTTGGAATTTGTTAGAAGTAGATTAGAAGGCTTCCCATTCAGTCATTCATTCATCATTTGTTAATTCATTAATATTTTGTGACTGTCTAATATAAAATACTATTCTATGTATGAAGGATACAGTGCTATGGATATATAGCAGGGGAAAACTTATGCTATAATGGAGTAAAAGTTTAGCAGGGAGAGATAAAAATTGAAAAATAATAAGTAAAAACGATATCACCCACTGTATGATAAGCGCTACGCTAAAAATTAAAAAATAATGAGACATGATAGAGATTTCCTCCTTTGGATTGGATGGTCAATGGAAACTTCTCTCTGAACTTGGCCTTGAGCCAATATATGAATTTCCATATTCAAGGGAGACACTCATATGAATATCACAGAAAGAACCTTACAAGTGGATAGGAAAACTGGAATAAAGCCATAGGGTGGGGAGAAGTTTGGTAAGTTTCAGGAGGCCACTGTTACCAGAATATAGTGAACAGAGGGAGTGTGGTGCAAGATGAGTTTCAGCAGATAGGTAGGAGCCAGACCAGGTGAGTGCCACCATGCGTGGCTCTGTTGTTTTATTTACCATAGATGTAGATTTTTCTAAGCTTAGTGCAAATCATCCTCCAATAGCTTTCCTTCGTACATCCAAACTAGAGGACTTTGCAAGCTAGGTTAAGGAGTTTGAATGCTATCCCAAGTATGAAGGAAAGTCATTGGAAGATGATAAGATGTGAGTAAAATGTTTTGATTTAATAGACAGCATGCTGATTGCTAAACAGAGAATTGATTAAGAGGGTCAAGATTCAAATGATGCAGTCATGGGTGGGGGAAATGATGATGCTGGGAAGAGAGAAAATTTGTTGGAGAAATGTTCCTGAGTAGACAAGAGGTGACATGCAAAAGGATGGCCTTAGAACAAACTATTCATTCATGACAGGAAGAAAAACAGGTTAATCTAGATACAAGGAGGTGGGTAGAGTGGCATTAGGAGGGTTGGGAAGGTATATTCTGATTGCTTCTATTTTTTCAGTGAAATAGGAAGCAAGGTCATTATTGAGAGTGAGGATGGGGAGGGATGTGCTGGAGGTTTGGGGGAAAAAAAGGAGAAAATATAAAATAGTAACCTAGGAAAATGGTCATGGCAAGTATTATGACTGCCAGGCAGCATAAACAACACTCTTAAAGCTAACAATCATAAATATAAAATGAGACCAGTCAATATGACTATATTTTTCTCCAGCCAAATTCAACTATACAGAAGTACATGGGAATACAAAAAAATTTGGAATTTATCAGGGTCGATGTTTGTTAAAACTAGAGAGGGACAAGAGGGTTCAGGATTTATGCTAGTCAGCGATTTTAATGATGGACCATGGAATATTGGGTGAAGTTAGGAGACAGGACTCATTAACATTAAGGTTTGTTAGGCATCTGTGTTAGAACAGCACGTGTAACCATTAAATGAATAGATATAGAATGTTTAACTCCCAAAACAATGGAGAAGGAAAAATGGAAAGAGAAAAAACTTCAAACAAAAATTCAAACTGTTAATACTCACCTTCTTGTATATAAAGAGAAATCCACCCAGATTAGCCTATAAATTCAGTAAAAAATTCACATTTTTTCTGACATCTTATAAGCTTCAGTTAGATTCATAACTGCTTTCCAAATCTGATTTTACTTTGTTATGCTCTTTCACAAGTTCTGGCATACAGGTTTTATTAGCCTCATGCAGTGAGTGGAGTGCCAGTCCTCTTTTTCTAGTGTCTGAGACAGTATATATAAAATAGACATTATTTAAAATCAGAGAGTTTACCTGTTTGGGCTGAATGTCTTTTCTTGAACATAGGAAAGTTGGTGATAAATAGACAATGATAAATTAAACTTATTAGAAGTTATTTATTATATTCTATTTCATTTTGAGTCGATTTTGATGATTTACATTCTTCTAAAAATTTTTCTCATTATTTATAAGTCTTTATCTTAAGGCTGATCTTCATCTTACGATTTTATAAATCAGGGTAGAACAAAGAGAAAATCTCAAAAATACACCTCCCATGTTAACAGTAGTATGAGAATGTGCACCACTAATAGGAGCAATGGGATTTAGCAAGCTGAAAACGTAAGATGGGATTTTTAGTTGGTGATGCCATCCAAAAAAAAAATAAAAATTATTTCCCAGCTCTCATTGCAAAAGGATGTGTAGTCATGTGACCAGGTTCTGGAGATTAGCAAGTAAGTGGAAGTGGTATGTTTACTTGTTAAAAGGAAGAGCCACGTTCTTTTTTCCCTTTCCTTGACCGTGCCGGCTAGAAAGTGAATGTGATGGCTGGGGCTTCTTTCTTGGATCATTAAGTGAGAATGGATCATGCATAGAGGAACCAAAAGGTGGAAGGGACCCAATTTCCTAAGTACTTTATGTAACAGATCCACTATCTAGTCTTGGACACCCTACGTCTGGATTTTAACATGAGAGAAAAATCTTACACCCTTTTGATGGCTCTGCTATTGAGAGTTTTTAAAGTACTTAGGCGCTTATATATGTTATACAGAAAATATTGATAGAAAACCAAGAAAACTTATATGGTAAGTCTATTTTTCATCCTTATTGTGTTTGTATTTTCCAAATTTTACAAAAAGTTGCATTTAAACTTTAAATGTAATTAATATATGTTTGTTGACTTAAACTTTAGAAAACATAAGCAGAAGAAAAAAATTAGTGATATTCTCACTACTTACTTAAATTTTGATGTGCATTTTCACAGAGAAAGATAGATTACACCAAACAAAACCTAGTCCTCCATTCCTCTCCCTATAAACTCAGAGAACAATCCAGGAATCCTCATCAGAGCAGGAGGTCTTATCTGGTGGCCTTTAGGGTTTTAGTCAAACCATTATCCTAGAATATTATACCTTTTTAAAATCCCCTTTTCTACTCAAAGATAAATTTGGTTTTTAAAAAATGTCATTCCATATACTAAAAGTCCCCCAAATAGGCTAATTGTTTTGGATTTTGGTGGAGAAAGTGAATTTACAAGCAAAGAGTTAGGTACTTTGTGCTCTAAAACTTCATAACCTTTACTTGTAGGTTGGAAGATTAGAAGGTATTGCACTATAAGTTGTAATGGCCCGGAGGCAGCCATTATAGTCTAAAGGTCAATGCTCTGTGAGGCACAATTTTAGTAAGTGGATTCTGTGATTTGAAAAAAGAAGAAGAAAAAGAAGAAAAAAGTAAATTCTCTGGTTCAGCTTCAACAGAGGTGTTTTTTATGTTCCAGAGATAAATTCCTTGAGTCCCTTAGTTCACTGCAACTAAATAGAACAAAATATACTCTTACCCTCAATTCAGGTTTTGTAATTTAATAGTCTGAAGCTTGAGTAATGATTACACACACTTATTCACACACACAGCACTAATTTTACTGATGAAAAAAGGCTTTAAAAAGCTTTAAAAAGAAGACTTTTTAAAACCCTAGCTCTGTCAGAGATGCTTGTTAAAAACAAAGGTGTCACAAGTTGCTTCCTATCTCTATTAGTAAAATACAAAAATAGAAAACAGTGCAGAGAATAAAAATATCAACCTCTCAACAAGTGTTCCCACAGATCTTCTTCACAAGATAGCTCATGTACACATTATCCTTGTCATGTTGGATTCTCTGATAAAAGCTTAGAAAGAATAATGCAAATTAATGTCAACAATATACTTTTTGTCCAAATCATATAGCACTTTTGTCCAAATCATATAGCACTTTAGTCCAAATCATACAGTCCTAGGCTTTAATGAAACATCTGCAGTTTGTTGTGTGACATTAATTAATCTATTTAATTTTTCTGGCTTCAATTTATATTTTAAAATATTATTTTATTCTATAAAAGTGATACACACATAGTTTAAAAAGTTAAACATACAGTATAATATGCCGTAAAAAGTACATGCTCATCTCATCCTTGTTCCCTGGTTACCTTACAGAGAGGCAAATACTGTTAACATCTGAGATTATTCACCCTGGAGAGATAATGTGCAAATACAATCATACAGGCATGTTTTAGTATGTCAATCTGATAGGTTTAAATTACATATTATGTTATTTTAATAAACATTTATTTAATGGTTGACAAGGCTGAAAATATCTTCATTTCATTTAATTGAACTTTAATTCATTATAAGTTGTTTGAACTTATTTTTCTATAAACTGCCTGCTCATGTCATCCTCCCATTTCCTTACTGGTTTTAAAATATTTTTTCTAATTGATTCATAAGAACTCTTCATATAATAAGAAAGATAGCCCTTTATTATATATAGCATATTACAAATATTCTTCCTGCTTTGTCAATGCCATTGAATTTATAGTATTCTATTGCTATGCAGACAATGTTTAATTTTTATGTAGGCAAATTTATCACCTTTTATGGCTTCTAAGCTTTGTGCCATGCTTAGAAAGGCTTCTCTCATTACAAGATTAATTTTTAAATTCTCACATAATTTCTTTCAGTACTTTTAGAATTTCCTTTTGTAGTGATTAAATCTCTGATATTTGATTTCATCTTGGTATAAATCCATCTGAAGTAAGAATTAATTCATTATTTTTCCAGAAGACTAGGCAATTGTTCATGACTAGTTATTAAGTAAATTTGTTTGGGCATGGTTTTGAAATACTTCTTTGATAACAAGCCACATTACCATGAGGATTTTGGTATACATCTCAACTCTTCCTTTGGTCTATTGTGTTTTGTTTCTATGTGCCAGTAAAAGTGTGTTTTAATTAATATAGCATTTAGTACCTTGTAGAACTAATGTCACGTCAGAAATTTATGTGTTTCTAAATTGCTCCCTACTCTAAAAATTATCTGTGAAGTAATTTCATTGGAATAAAATTAATGTATAGGTAAATACAGAGAGATTTGCTGCCTTCAAAATATTGAGTCTTCTTATCCAATAAAAGGTATATCATTATATTTCTTCAATTCTTGTTTTATCCTTCATTCTTTTAAAGTCCCTTTATATATGTCTTGAACATTTCTTAAATTTACTCGTATTACATTTTATCATTTTGTTCCTATGACAAATACTACCTTTATCCCTTTATATTTTAATGTAACTTTCACTTATACATAGGAAAATAATTGGTTTGTTTGCATTAATGTTATTTTATTGTTTGTGGTGTTTTCCAGCTGTAAAATTTAATCATATATGTAAATAATGATAATTCTGTGTCATCTCTTCAAACCTTTGTATTTTTTTTCCTTTCCAATTCCACATTTATAACCTCTAAAGCAATGAGAAGTAATCATTGTAATGGTGGACATCATTGTCTTTCTCCTGTTGAAAATATTTTGAGTAGTTTCACCACTCAGCACAATGCAGGTTTTGGCTGTCAATTAGATGGATATTAAAAATATCTATTTATTATTTTTTTATCAAGAGTCTTTTAAAACCAACAATGGATTTTGAACTTAAATACCTTCATACCCTTTCTGAGCATAATAATATAAATTTTCTCTTCTGATATAATAGAAACATAAATTATATTAGTAATTTTTCTAATAATCTTAATTTTTTGTCTTGGTTATGATGTATTCTTTTAAAGCAATGTTGGATTCTGTTGGCTAATATATTATTTTGGATCAATATTCACAAAATGACTGATACACACACATACACACACACATGCACACACATACACACACACACTCACACACACACACATTTAGTATCCTGTCAAGTTTTGATATAATTATTTTGATGGGTACATACAAAAAATAAAAGTTTTTCTTCGATCTCTGCTAGAATCATTTCAATAGCATTGAAATTTTCTGAACATTGCGTTGACATTTTGGGTAGGCTTCAGGTGTAATATAATCTGGGCCTGATGCCTGCAACTTTTGAACAACTTTTATAATTTCTCTGAAATGCCCTAGATTTTCTATCCCTTTTGAAGTCACTTTTGGTGATTTAAGTTTCTAGAAATGTCAACCATTTTTTTTAGATTTTTAAAATCCATATGCATGAAGATAAGCAAAGACACATTTTAAATATCTGCACTAAGGTTCTCAACTTAATTTCTCATTTTAAATATTTTCGCTTTCTCCATCTCTTGCCATTTAAAAACTTATGTTAATGGTTTACCTATCTAATTAACCTTTTAAAAAGCGCAATTTTTAAAATTCATTCATTTCACTCTTTTTTGTAGCTATTTAGGAATTTCACACTTTATTTACTAGTTTCTTCATTCTGATTTCCTCAAGTTTATTTTATTGGTGATGACAATTTCTTATTTTGAATGTTTAATTTGTTCTTGTTCCTTCTTATTTGACAGTTTTTCTTTGAAATTTGATTTTTCCTCTGATCACCTTTTTTGCCTCCTTCAGGTTTCAGTATATATTGTTTTTAGTATGTTGTTTGGATTTCTTCTCTCACCTGACAGTGTTGTAAAAGAGATTAAAATCTTCATTTAGCTCCTAACATTTAAAAATTTTTTATAATTTAGGTATTTATCACTAATTTTATTTTACTGTGGATAAAATAAATAAAACAAAACTTGTGTTTTGAAGTGCATTACGATTTTTATCTCCTAATAAATGTTCATTCCTTAAGAAGTTCTATGTGTATTCATTTTATTCTGATCAGAATTTTTAGCAAGATGTTAAACTTTTGTTTCTTGAAACTAGTTTGTCATAACATATTGTAAGTAATTACAGTATTTATTTTCTAGGACTATTGTGAATGTGCAGACCTACATTTACTGCTAAGGAGAGTATTTTTATAAAATAATATTAAATCCAGTATTAGCTGTCTATTTCAGACACTGAATACTTGCAAAGATCCAGTTTTTTTAAGATGCGACCCCGTTGTTGAAAGTAAATGTATGCTTTGGATGTGAATATTAGCATCCCAATAAGGATGTGATGATATTAAGGTGGTGGTAGTGGGAAGTCAGTCTTGATTCCTTTGGAAATTTTAGATTTTTGTAAGTTTATTGAAAAAGTAATTTTTCCTGTACTGTTTCTTCTTGGTAAACAGATCTTTTGAAAAGAAAAACCGTGAAGGAGAAATTGAGGTGTGACTACATTTCCTCAAATAACCAGCATTGTATTTGTGAATACTGTGTACTTTGCAGTGAATGGTGTGGAAGCTGATCATTTTTCATTCTGAAGTAAAATACTTTTCCCCAAAAAGTCTATGTGTGTTTAAAAAGAAGGTATAATCCCTGTATGGTGTGTAATTTATATCAATAATATCTACTCTTAATTTTTAAATATTTTATATTTTCACTTTTCTTTTTTAAAATATATTTTTATTCTTATAGATACAGGGGGTACAAGTGCAGATTTCTTACATGTATGTATTGCCTAATGGCAAAGTCTGTTTTTAGCGTAGTCATCACCTGAACAGTGGACATTATGACCAATAGGTAATTTTTCAACCTTCACCTTCTGCATCTTTTTTTAGTCTCCAGTGCCCATTATTCCACTCTAGATGTCCATGTTTATCCTTTGTTTAACTTCTACTTACAAGTTAGAACATGAGGTTTTGACTTTGTTTCTGAGTTCTTTCACTTAAGATAATGGCCTGTAGTTCCATTCATGTTGCTGCAAAAGACATGATTCTTTTTTATGGCTCGGTAGTGTTTCATGGTATATGTATGCCACATTTCCTTTATCTAATTATCGTTGATGGAAACTTAGGTTGATTCTTTGCTATTATAAATAGTGCTGTGCTAGAAATACGAGTGCAGGTACCTTTTTGATAACGATTTACTTCCTTTTGGGTATATACCCAGTAGTGGGATTGCTGAATTGAATAGTAGTTCTATGTTTAGTTCTTTGAGAAACCTTCATACTATTTTCCATAAAGACTGTACTAATCTGCATTCCCACCAAGAGAGTATAAGCATTTCCTTTTCTCTGCATACTTGCCAGCATCTGCATTTTTTGACTTTTTTTTTTTTAATACTTTAAGTTCTGGGATACATGTGTAGAATGTGCAGGTTTGTTACATAGGTATACATGTGCCATGGTGGTCTGCTGCACCCATCAACCCGTCCTCTAAATTAGGTATTCCTCCTAATGCTATCTCTCCCCTAGCCCCCCACCCCCTGACAGGCCACGGTGTATGATGTTCCCCTCCCTGTGTCCATGTGTTCTCATTGTTCAACTCCCACTTACGAGTGAGAACACGTGGTGTTTGGTTTTCTGTTCCTGTGTTAGTTTGCTGAAAATGATGGCTTCCAGCTTCATTCATGTCCCTGCAAAGGACATAAACTCATCCTTTTTATGGCTACATAGTATTCCATGGTATATATGTGCCACATTTTCTTTATCCAGTCTATCGTTGATGGGCATTTGGGTTGGTTCCAAGTCTTTGCTATTGTGAACAGTGCCGCGATAAACGATAAACATATGTGTGCATGTGTCTTTATAGTAGAATGATTTATAATCCTTTGGGTATATACCCAGTAATGGGATGGTTGGGTCGAACGGTATTTCTGGTTCTAGATCCTTGAGGAATCGCTACACTGTCTTCCACAATGGTTGAACTAATTTACACTCCCACCAACAGTGTAAAAGTGTTCCCATTTCTCCACATCCTCTCCGGCATCTGTTGTTTCCTAACTTTTTAATGATCGTCATTCTAACTGGCATGAGATGGTATCTTACTGTGGTTTTGATTTGCATTTCTCTAATGACCAGTGATGATGAGCTTTTTTTTTTTTTCGTATGTTTGTTGGCTGTATAAATGTCTTCTTCTGAGAAGTGGCTGTTCATATTGTTTGCCCACTTTTTGATGGGGTTGTTATTTTCTTGTAAATTTGTTTAAGTTCCTTGTAGATTTTGGATATTAGCCCTTTGTCAGATGGATAGATTGCAAAAATTTTCTCCCATTCTGTAGGCTGCCTTTTCACTATGATGATAGTTTCTTCTGCTGTGCAGAAACTCTTTAGTTTAATTAGATCCCATTTGTCAATTTTGGCTTTTGTTGCCATGCTTTTGGTGTTTTAGTCATGAAGTCTTTGCTGATGCCTATGTCCTGAATGGTATTGCCTAGGTTTTCTTCTAGGGTTTTTATAGTTTTAGGTCATACATTTAAGTCTTTAATCCATCTTGAGTTAATTTTTGTATAATGTGTATGGAAGGGTTCCAGTTTCAGTTTTCTGCAGACGGCTAGCCAGTTTTCATAATGCCATTTATTAAATAGGGAATCCTTTCCCCATTGTTTGTTTTTGTCAGGTTTGTCAAAGATGAGATGGTTGTAGATGTGTGGCATGATTTCTGAGGCATCTGTTCTGTGTGTGTGTATATATATGTATATATATACATATATACGCACATATATACATATATATATACATACATATGTATGTATGCATCTCAGGGATGAAGCCAACCTAATCATGCTGGATAAGCTTTTTGATGTGCTGCTGGATTCGGTTTGCCAATATTTTATTGAGGATTTTCAAATCAATGTTCATCAGGTATATTGGCCTGAAATTTTCTTTTTTTGTTGTGTCTGTGCCAGGTTTTGGTATCAGGATGATGCTGGCCTCATAAAATGAGCTAGGGAGGAGTCCCTCTTTTTCTATTGTTGGGAATAGTTTCAGAAGGAATGGTACCAGCTTCTCTTTTAGAACTGGGCTGTGAATCCGTCTGGTCCTGGGCTTTTTTTGGTTGGTAGGCTATTAATTACTGCCTCAATTTCAGAACTTGTTATTGGTCTATTGAGGGATTTGACTTCTTCCTGGTTTAGTCTTGGGAGAGTGTACATGTACAGGAATTTATCCATTTCTTCTAAATTTTCTAGTTTACTTGCATAGAGGTGTTTATAGTATTCTCTGATGGTAGTTTGTATTTCTGTGGGATCGGTGGTGATATCCTCTTCATCATTTTTTATTGTGTCTATTTGATTCTTCTCTCTTTTCTTCATTAGTCTGGCTAACCATCTATCTGTTGTGTTAATCTTTTCAAAAAACCAGCTTCTGGATTCATTGATTTTTTGAAGGGCTTTTCATGTCTCTATCTTCTTCAGTTCTGCTCTGATCTTAGTTATTTCTTGTCTTCTGCTAGCTTTTGAATGTGTTTGCTCTTGCTTCTCTAGTTCCTTTAATCGTGATGTTAGGGTGACAATTTTTAGATCTTTCCTGCTTTCTCCTGTTGGCATCTAGCGCTATAAATTTCCCCCTAAACACTGCTTTAGCTGTGTCCCAGAGATTCTGGTATGTTGTGCCTTTGTTCTCATTGGTTTCAAAGAACTTATTTATTTCTGCCTTCATTTCATTATTTACCCAGTAGTCATTCAGGAGCAGGTTGTTCAGTTTTCATGTAGTTGTGCGGTTTTGAGTGAGTTTCTTTATCTGAGTTCTAATTTGATTGCACTGTGGTCTGAGAGACTGTTTGTTATGATTTCCATTATTTTGCATTTGCTGAGAAGTGTTTTACTTCCAATTATGTGGTCATTTTTAGAATAAGTGCCACGTGGTGCTGAGAAGAATGTATACTCTGTTGATTTGGGTTGGAGAGTTCTGCAGATGTCTATTAGGTCCGCTTGGTCCAGAGTTGAGTTCAAGTCCTGAATATCCTTGTTAATTTTCTGTCTCATTGATCTGTCTAATATTGACAGTAGGGTGTTAAAGTCTCCCACTATTATTTTGTGAGAGTCTAAGTCTCTTTGTAGGTCTCTAAGAACATGCTTTATGAATCTGGGTGCTCCTGTATAGGGTGCATATATATTTAGGATAGTTAGCTCTTCTTGTTGCATTGATCCCTTTACCATTATGTAATGCCTGTCTTTGTCTTTTTTGATCTTTGTTGGTTTAAAGTCTGTTTCATCAGAGACTAGGATTGCAACCCCTGTTTTTTTTTTTTTTTCTTTCCATTTGCTTGGTAAATATTCCTCTGTCCCTTTATTTTGAGCCTATATGTGCCTTTGCACATGACATGTGTCTCCTGAATATAGCACACTGATGGGTCTCGACTCTATCCCATTTGCCAGTCTGTGTCTTTTAATTGGGGCATTTAGCCCATTTACATTTAAGGTTAATATTGTTAAGTGTGAATTTGATCCTGTCATTATGATGCTAGCTGGTTATTTTGCCCATTACTTGATGCAGTTTCTTCATAGTGGTGATGTTTTTGCAGTGGCTGGTACCGGTTGTTCCTTTCCATATTTAGTGCTTCCTTCAGGAGCTCTTGTAAGGCAGGCCTAGTGGTGACAAAATCTCTCAGCATTTGCTTGTCTGTAAAGGATTTTATTTCTCCTTCACTTATGAAACTTAGTTTGGCTGGATTTGAGATTCTGGGTTGAAAATTCTTTTCTTTAAGAATGTTGAATATTGGCCCCCCTCTCTTCTACCTTTTAGGGTTTCTGTGGGGAGATCTGCTGTTAGTCTGATGGGCTTCCCTTTGTGGGTAATCCGACCTTTCTCTCTGGCTGCCCTTAACATTTTTTCCTTCGTTTCAACCTTGGTGAATCTGATGATTATGTGTCTTGGGGTTGCTCTTCTTGAGTATCTTTGTGGTGTTCTCTGTATTTCCTGAATTTGAATGTTGGTCTGTCTTGCTAAATTCTCTTGGATAATATCCTGAAGAGTGTTTTCCAACTTGGTTCCATTCTCCCCGTCACTTTCAAGTACACCAATCAAACGTAGGTTTGGTCTTTTCACATGGTCCCATTTTTTTTTTTAATATTTTTTATTATACTTTAAGTTCTAGAGTACATGCGCACAATGTGTAGGTTTGTTACATATGTATACATGTGCCATGTTGGTGTGCTGCACCCGTTAACTCATCATTTACATTAGGTATATCTCCTAATGATATCCCTCCCCGCTCCTCCCACCCCACAACAGGCCCCAGTGTGTGATGTTCCCCTTCCTGTGTCCATGTGTTCTCATTGTTCAATTCCCAGCTATGAGTGAGAACATGTGGTGTTTGGTTTTTTGTCCTTGTGATAGTTTGCTGAGAATGATGGTTTCCAGCTTCATCCATATCCCTACAAAGGACATGAACTCATCATTTTTTATGGCTGCATAGTATTCCATGGTGTATATGTGCCACATTTTCTTAATCCAGTCTATCACTGATGGACATCTGGGTTGGTTCCAAGACTTTGCTATTGTGAATAGTGCCGCAATAAACATACGTGTGCATGTATCTTTATAGCAGCATGATTTATAATCCTTTGGGTATATACCCAGTAATGGGATCACTGGGTCAAATGGTATTTCTAGTTGTAGATCTTTGAGGAATCGCCACACTGTCTTCCACAATGGTTGAACTAGTTTACAGTCCCACTAACAGTGTAAAAGTGTTCCTATTTCTCCACATCCTCTCCAGCTACTGTTGTTTCCTGACTTTTTAATGATCGCACATGGTCCCATATTTCTTGGAGGCTTTATTCATTCCTTTTCATTCTTTTTTCTCTAATCTTGTCTTCATGCTTTATTTCATTGAGTTGATCTTCAATCTCTGATATCCTTTGTTCCTCTTGATTGATCCAGCTATTGATATTTATGTATGCTTCATGAAGTTCTCGTGCTGTGTTTTGCAGTTCCATCATGTCATTTATAGTGTTCTCTAAACTGGTTATTCTAGTTAGCAATTCCTCTAACCTTTTTTCAAGGTTCTTAGCTTCTTTGCGTTGGGTTAGAACGTGCTTCTTTAGCTTGGAGGAGTTTGTTATTACGTACTTTCTGAAGCCTATTTCTGTCAATTTGGCAAACTCATTCTCCCTCCAGTTTTGTTCCCTTGCTGGCGAGGACTTGTGATCCTTTGGTGGAGAAGAGTTGTTCTGGTTTTTGGAATTTTCAGCCTTTTTGCACTGGTTTTTCCTCATCTTTGTGGATTTATCTACCTTTGGTCTTTGATGTTGGTGACCTTCAAGTGAGGTTTCTGTGTGGATGTCCTCTTTGTTGATGTTGATGCTATTGCTTTCTATTTGTTAGTTTTCCTTCTAACAGTCAGGCCCCTCTGCTGTAGGTCTGCTGAAGTTTGCTGGAGGTCCACTCCAGACCCTGTTTTCCTGGGTATCACCAATGGAGGCTGCAGAACAGCAAAGATTGCTCCCTGTTCCTTCCTCTGGAGGCTTTGTCCCAGAGGGTCACCTGCCAGATGCCAGCCAGAGCTCTCCTCTATGAGGTGTCTGTTGACCCCTGCTGGGAGGTGTCTCCCAGACAGGAGGCATGGGGGTCAGGGACCCACTTGAGGAGAGAGTCTGTCCCTTAGCAGAGCTCAGGTGCTATGCTGGGAGATCCACTGCTCTGTTTATAGACAGCAGGCAGGAACATTTACGTCTGCTGAAGCTGCGCCCACAGCCACCCCTTCCCCCAGGTGCTCTGTCCCAGGGAGATGGGAGTTTTATCTATAAGCCCCTGACTGGGGGTGCTGCCTTTCTTTCAGAGTTGCCCTGCCCAGAGAGGAGGAATCCAGAGAAGCAGTCTGGCTACAGCGGCTTTGTGGCGCTGCGGTGGGCTCTGCCCACTTTGACTTTTTAATAATAGCCATTCTGTAACAGTCAACAGACTAAACAGACAACCTATAGAATGAGAAAAAAATATTTGCAAACTATGCATCTGACAAATGGTTAATATCCAGAATCTACAAGGAACTCAAATAACTCACCAAAAAAGGAAATAACCCTTTTTACTTATTTTGATCTACTTGAAGAAGACGACACATGTACATCTATTATTATATTCTGTGTATCCATTTATCTTTGTATATGTTAAAGTTTTACCTTAGGAATCTTTATGCTATGCTATTTAGTAGATAAGTATTTATGATTATTGTACCTTCCTGTGAATTACAGCATTTGTCATTATACAATGCCTTCTTAGTTTTATGTAATATTTCTTTGCTGTGAATTCAATCTTGTCTGATATTATAGCCCCTACATAATTTTGTGTTTTCATAGGCATGCTACAGTGTATTTATCTTTTTCCTTTCAACCATCTGAGACACTTTGTTTTAGAAGCATTTATTCAGTTCTGCTGAAAGTTGAATTTTTATTTGTGACTTATTCTAAAAGTATTTTCCTAGGTGAGTCCATAAGATTTATCTTTATTGTGTATTTTCATTCTGCCATCATATCTTAATTCTGACATTTAGTTACCCTTGACTTTTATGTTTTATTACATTGTCTGGTTTACTGTGCTTTGTTTATTTGGAAGTATTTTCTTAAACTTATGTATTCTTTTGTCTTTTAGGCTCTGTCTGTGTTCACTTTACTTTGCTTTTTTGCATGCATTTTCCTCCTAATAATTTGAAAGGTGTATCATCTTTTTTATGGTTTACAATGCTTACCTTTATAATTTCACATATGTTTAATTTCATTTTAAATACATATCTTGCCTTCTACTATGAACAATAAATACATATTTATTGTTCATACTATGAACTTGCCTCTACCTCTCTTTCCTCAATTCCATCATTCAATTTACTTGGCTATTTTATTGTCCTTTGTTCCTGAGGTAGTTTTCTTTCTATGTTTAAATGCAATTCTGAATTCTGTTCTAGGTAATACGGCAAAGAAGCCATCACAAAAACCTTCCTAATATAGAACAATTAGAAATGATGGATACAGGCTGGGCGTGGTCACTTATGCCTGTAGTCCCAGCACTTTCGGAGGCCGAGGCGGGTGGATCACCAGAGGTCAGGAGTTTGAGACCAGCCTGACCAACATGGTGAAACCCCGTTTCTACTAAAAATACAAAATTAGCCAGGCGTGGTGGCATGTGCCTGTAATCCCAGCTACTCGGGAGGCTGAGGCAGGAGGATCGATTGAACCCAGGAGTCAGAGGTTGCAGTGAGCTGAGATTGCACCACTGCACTCCAACCTGGGCAACAAGAGCAAAACTCTGTCAAAAAAAAAAAAATGGATACAATATTTGATCTTTAAGTAAATAACTGAGCTGGCAAGAAATGGAGCCCTAACCATGAGAAGGTATGGCCACATAGAGTAAACAAAGTACTGTCACTGGAAGCTGCTTTGAGAGCATCCAACATCTGCTGGTGGCCTAGAGCTTGGGCCTTAATGGACCATATCTGTTTAGAGGATCAAAGAAGGCAAAGCCTGCTCAAAGAAGAAGGTTTGGACCAGAGATTCCTGTATGAACCAAAAACCTTGCAAAGTGACTCTTTGGGTGAAAAGGTAAAAATGTTACGATTAATTATAAAATTATTTATTATAAAATTATTTATAATTCATAATGTATTGATTAAATAACAAAACACCCAGCAGAGAGAAATATAAAACAGATGTTTGCTATCTTAAACTTGGCTCTTGGTGGATGGGTTTGGGAAAATGTTTCCCTGAGAATTCAAAACCACAAAGAAGCCTTTACATGGATTTGGGGATGGATTTCAAAGAATTCAATGCCCTTGGAAAACCCAGAGCTCAGGATTTAATTTGAACTGGTTCTGGTTATGTAGTGCTCCTAGGTGACTGATAGAAGCAAAAATAAATCATATCTAAGGAAAAACACTTTAAACTTGAGCTTCAAAAAAATTCCACAGCCCAAATTCCAAGGAATGTGAGATCAAAATTTAAACTATCATATTAAGTGAGGAAATAAACCACCATGAGCAAGAGTCAATAGAATGAAAGGAAAAAAAAAACACCACCAATACATGTTAGACCCACTAAGATTATAGGAGTAGAAATTACTATATGCAGGATATAAAATAGGTATGTTTAATTTGCTTAAGGAAATAAGAGACTCTTTAAGTATTATTAAGAAGTAAAAGACTATGAAAAATGACCAGGCTAAATAAAAAATGAACCAAAGAACTTGTAAAAATAATTAGAAACTCAATGGACTAAACAGTAGATTAGACTTTAACAGCTGATTGGACAGAATAAAATCAGTGAACATGGAGGCTAAGTCTAACAAATCTCTAATCAAATTTCCTGAGGAGGATAATAGAATTGGGGAAAGACACAATTCAAAATGACATTGAGAATTTTGCAGAAAAAATAAAAACACAAACCTTTAGATTCAGTGTCCTGATAAGAGACAAATAAGATAAAGGAAAAAAAAAAAGACATTTAGATACGCAATGAAACTGCAGATTGCCAAAGAAAAGAGAGATTCTTAAAAGGTGATAGAGGAAAAAAAACAAAAACACTAGGTAACTTAAAACAAATGACAATTTGATTGAGACCATCAGAAGATGGGATAATATCTTCAAAATGCTAAGAGAAAATAACTGTCAACCTAGAGTTGTATAGCCAGTGAAACATCTTCCAATGTGAAATTAGCACATTTCTAACAAACTAAAAGATCTATTTTCTTAAAAAACAAAAAATTCTAAGAGAAGAATGTCAAAGCAAAGAAAAAATGATCCCTAAAAGAACTAAGATGTAAGGGAGAATGCTAAGACAAGACATTGGTAAAGATATGGGAAAATCTGTATTAACAGCAATAATGTCTTTGTTGTAGTGTAAAAAACAGAATTCTTTTCATAGAAAGCATCTTCTGAGACAATCCTATTTTATGAAACACACTCAGCAAAATGCTGCTAATTAATGCTAGGCTGGGTGCCAGAGCCAGACCCTTTGCTAGTATAGTTAGTGAGTACAGATGCCCACCCAGCCTCTCAATTTCAACAAAGCTTTGTTCTCTATTTATTGTGAAGAATTCATTTTATGGATACAATTATTGGTTACAATAGCAGTCACCAGCCTGCAGATCTAGGAAGTTCAACATTTTGTTGAACTATGAATGTCACAATTATGCCTTATGAGAAACTAGGAACTGTAACCACACTAAAACTGTGAGAATTCGTCTCTTAAATCTTGACATATTTGTATTAAAGACCAGAGGAAAACCTGGCAAAGAATACAGTACAGTTATATCATCATTGAATTTTTATTTTTCTAACTACCATGATGAGATTCCAAGTTTCTCTCTTTAAAAGAAAATAAATCATTATGATGCCATCATGAAATCATTTCTAATCCAATGGTGCCAGTCATTACTACCATTTGAAATATAGTTATGCCTTTCAGCTGTAGCTTAGTAATGATATTAAGTCTGAATTTTCCTGCAAAAGCAATTTATTCATGTCACCACTTACTGCTGTAAGCTTGTTTATGGCTTTCTAAATGGGATCTGTTTCACCATTTGGTTCTTTCTTCAGCACATTTTGCCTTTTGTAAAACACATACATTTCCTCCAATGCAATCATAAATGATGACAGAGGAGAAGAACTGAATTAGAATGTAAAGCTACTTCCTAAAGTATCTACATATGATGACCAGATTTACAAAGAGGAAAGGAGAAGCACATTGCAGCAATAGAAGAGATGTTCAGAATCTTACAAAAATCCTGAATTATGATGTCAAAACCCTGCCTCCAGTTGTGAAAATTGAAGTATAATTACTAAAACTAATATTCATAGTAATGTGAACTCTTTTTATAAGACTGCCTCTTGAAAAGAGTAAAACAGCTAAAATAAAGTGTTTCATTTTGTATCTTAATTTTGCTGGTGAAACTACACATGTGATTAAATAAATTAGAACTATATACACCCTTTATACCAATATGATTTTGATATTGAGCTATAGCCACCTAAGATGTAAGCAATAGGGGAAATTGGTGAAGGGTGCATAGGACCTCTGTATTATCTCTGCAACTTCTTATGGATCTATAATTATTACTAAATTTTAAAAAATTTAAAACCTATTTCCTCACCTTTCAATTTTTTTAATTTATTTATTTATTATTATTATACTTTAAGTTTTAGGGTACATGTGCACAATGTGCAGGTTAGTTACATATGTATACATGTGCCATGCTGGTGCGCTGCACCCACTAACTCGTCATCTAGCATTAGGTATATCTCCCAATGCTATCCCTCCCCCCTCCCCCCACCCCACAACAGTCCCCAGAGTGTGATGTTCCCCTTCCTGTGTCCGTGTGTTCTCGTTGTTCAATTCCCACCTATGAGTGAGAATATGCGGTGTTTGGTTTTTTGTTCTTGTGATAGTTTACTGAGAATGATGATTTCCAATTTCATCCATGTCCCTACAAAGGACATGAACTCATCATTTTTTATGGCTGCATAGTATTCCATGGTGTATATGTGCCACATTTTCTTAATCCAGTCTATCATTGTTGGACATTTGGGTTGGTTCCAAGTCTTTGCTATGGTGAATAATGCCGCAATAAACATACATGTGCATGTGTCTTTATAGCAGCATGATTTATAGTCCTTTGGGTCTATACCCAGTAATGGGATGGCTGGGTCAAATGGTATTTCCAGTTCTAGATCCCTGAGGAAATGCCACACTGACTTCCACAATGGTTGAACTAGTTTACAGTCCCACCAACAGTGTAAAAGTGTTCCTATTTCTCCACATCCTCTCCAGCACTTGTTGTTTCCTGACTTTTTAATGATTGCCATTCTAACTGGTGTGAGATGGTATCTCATTGTGGTTTTGATTTGCATTTCTCTGATGGCCAGTGATGGTGAGCATTTTTTCATGTGTTTTTTGGCTGCATAAATGTCTTCTTTTGAGAAGTGTCTGTTCATGTCCTTCGCCCACTTTTTGATGGGGTTGTTTGTTTTTTCTCATAAATTTGTTTGAGTTCATTGTAGATTCTGGATATTAGCCCTTTGTCAGATGAGTAGGTTGCAAAAATTTTCTCCCATTTTGTAGGTTGCCTGTTCACTCTGATGGTAGTTTCTTTTGCTGTGCAGAAGCTCTTTAGTTTAATTAGATCTCATTTGTCAATTTTGTCTTTTGTTGCCATTGCTTTTGGTGTTGTAGACATGAAGTCCTTGCCCATGCCTATGTCCTGAATGGTAATGCGTAGGTTTTCTTCTAGGGTTTTTATGGTTTTAGGTCTAACGTTTTAAGTCTTTAATCCGTCTTGAATTGATTTTTGTATAAGGTGTAAGGAAGGGATCCAGTTTCAGCTTTCTACATACAGCTAGCCAGTTTTCCCAGCACCATTTATTAAATAGGGAATCCTTTCCCCATTGCTTGTTTTTCTCAGGTTTGTCAAAGATCAGATAGTTGCAGATATGCGGCGTTATTTCTGAGGGCTCTGTCCTGTTCCATTGATCTTTATCTCTGTTTTGGTACCAGTACCATGCTGTTTTGGTGACTGTAGCCTTGTAGTATAGTTTGAAGTCAGGTAGTGTGATGCCTCCAGCTTTGTTCTTTTGTTTTAGGATTGACTTGGCGATGCGGGCTCTTTTTTGGTTCCATATGAACTTTAAAGTAGTTTTTTCCAATTCTGTGAAGAAAGTCATTGGTAGCTTGATGGGGATGACATTGAATCTGTAAATTACCTTGGGCAGTATGGCCATTTTCATGATATTGATTCTTCCTACCCATGAGCATGGAATGTTCTTCCATTTCTTTCTATCCTCTTTTATTTCCTTGAGCAGTGGTTTGTAGTTCTCCTTGAAGAGGTCTTTCACAGCCCTTGTAAGTTGGATTCCTAGGTATTTTATTCTCTTTGAAGCAACTGTGAATGGGAGTTCACTCATGATTTGGCTCTCTGTTTGTCTGTTGTTGGTGTATAAGAATGCTTGTGATTTTTGTACATTGATTTTGTATCCTGAGACTTTGCTGAAGTTGCTTATCAGCTTAAGGAGATTTTGGGCTGAGACAATGGGGTTTTCTAGATACACAATCGTGTCATCTGCAAACAGGGACAATGTGACTTCCTCTTTTCCTCTTTGAATACCCTTTATTTCCTTCTCCTGCCTAATTGCCCTGGCCAGAACTTCCAACACTATGTTGAATAGGAGTGGTGAGAGAGGGCATCCCTGTCTTGTGCCAGTTTTCAAAGGGAATGCTTCCAGTTTTTGCCCATTCAGTATGATATTGGCTGTGGGTTTGTCATAGATAGCTCTTATTATTTTGAAATACGTCCCATCAATACCTAATTTATTGAGAGTTTTTTGCATGAAGGGTTGTTGAATTTTGTCAAAGGCCTTTTCTGCATCTATTGAGATAATCATGTGGTTTTTGTCTTTGGTTCTGTTTATATGCTGGATTACATTTATTGATTTGCGTATATTGAACCAGCCTTGCATCCCAGGGATGAAGCCCACTTGATCATGGTGGATAAGCTTTTTGATGTGCTGCTGGATTCTGTTTGCCAGTATTTTATTGAGGATTTCTGCATCAATGTTCATCAAGGATATTGGTCTAAAATTCTCTTTTTTGGTTGTGTCTCTGCCCGGCTTTGGTATCAGGATGATGCTGGCCTCATAAAATGAGTTAGGGAGGATTCCCTCTTTTTCTATTGATTGGAATAGTTTCAGAAGGAATGGTACCAGTTCCTCCTTGTACCTCTGGTAGAATTCGGCTGTGAATCTGTCTGGTCCTAGACTCTTTTTGGTTGGTAAGCTATTGATTATTGCCACAATTTCAGCTCCTGTTATTGGTCTATTCAGAGATTCAACTTCTTCCTGGTTTAGTCTTGGGAGAGTGCATGTGTCCAGAAATTTATCCATTTCTTCCAGATTTTCTAGTTTATTTGCGTAGAGGTGTTTGTAGTATTATCTTATGGTAGTTTATATTTCTGTGGGATCGGTGGTGATATCCCCTTTATCATTTTTTATTGCGTCTATTTGATTCTTCTCTCTTTTCTTCTTTATTAGTCTTGCTAGCGATCTATCAATTTTGTTGATCCTTTCAAAAAACCAGCTCCTGGATTCATTAATTTTTTGAAGGGTTTTTTGTGTCTCTATTCCCTTCAGTTCTGCTCTGATTTTAGTTATTTCTTGCCTTCTGCTATCTTTTGAATGTGTTTGCTCTTGCTTTTCTAGTTCCTTTAATTGTGATGTTAGGGTGTCAATTTGGATCTTTCCTGCTTTCTCTTGTGGGCATTTAGTGCTATAAATTTCCCTCTACACACTGCTTTGAATGCGTCCCAGAGATTCTGGTATGTTGTGTCTTTGTTCTCGTTGGTTTCAAAGAACATCTTTATTTCTGCCTTCATTTCGTTATGTATCCAGTAGTCATTCAGGAGCAGGTTGTTCAGTTTCCATGTAGTTGAGCGGTTTTGAGTGAGTTTCTTAATCCTGAGTTATAGTTTGATTGCACTGTGGTCTGAGAGATAGTTTGTTATAATTTCTGTTCTTTTACATTTGCTGAGGAGAGCTTTACTTCCAAGTATGTGGTCAATTTTGGAATAGGTGTGGTGTGGTGCTGAAAAAAATGTATATTCTGTTGATTTGGGGTGGAGAGTTCTGTAGATGTCTATTAGGTCCACTTGGTGCAGAGCTGAGTTCAATTCCTGGGTATCCTTGTTGACTTTCTGTCTTGTTGATCTGTCTAATGTTGACAGTGGTGTGTTAAAGTCTCCCATTATTAACGTGTGGGAGTTTAAGTCTCTTTGTAGGTCACTCAGGACTTGCTTTATGAATCTGGGTGCTCCTGTATTGGGTGCATATATATTTAGGATGGTTAGCTCTTCTTGTTGAATTGATCCCTTTACCATTATGTAATGGCCTTCTTTGTCTTTTTTGATCTTTGTTGGTTTAAAGTCTGTTTTATCCGAGACTAGGATTGCAACCCCTGCCTTTTCTTGTTTTCCATTTGCTTGGTAGATCTTCCTCCATCCTTTTATTTTGAGCCTATGTGTCTCTGCACGTGAGATGGGTTTCCTGAATACAGCACACTGATGGGTCTTGACTCTTTATCCAGTTTGCCAGTCTGTGTCTTTTAATTGGAGCATTTAGTCCATTTACATTTAAAGTTAATATTGTTATGTGTGAATTTGATCCAGTCATTATGTTAGCTGGTTATTTTGCTCGTTAGTTGATGCAGTTTCTTCCTAGTCTCGATGGCCTTTACATTTTGGCATGATTTTGCAGTGGCTGGTACCAGTTGTTCCTTTCCATGTTTAGTGCTTCCTTCAGGAGCTCTTTTTGGGTAGGCCTGGTGGTGACAAAATCTGTCAGCATTTGCTTGTCTGTAAAGTATTTTATTTCTCCTTCATTTATGAAGCTTAGTTTGGCTGGATATGAAATTCTGGGTTGAAAATTCTTTTCTTTAAGAATGTTGAATATTGGCCCCCACTCTCTTCTGGCCTGTAAAGTTTCTGTCGAGAGATCTGCTGTTAGTCTGATGGGCTTCCCTTTGAGGGTAACCCGACCTTTCTCTCTGGCTGCCCTTAACATTTTTTCCTTCATTTCAACTTTGGTGAATCTGACAATTATGTGTCTTGGAGTTGCTCTTCTCGAGGAGTATCTTTGTGGCATTCTCTCTATTTCCTGAATCTGAACGTTGGCCTGCCTTGCTAGATTGGGGAAGTTCTCCTGGATGATATCCTGCAGAGTGTTTTCCAACTTGGTTCCATTCTCCCCGTCACTTTCAGGTACACCAATCAGACCTAGATTTGGTCTTTTCACATAGTCCCATATTTCTTGGAGGCTTTGCTCGTTTCTTTTTATTCTTTTTTCTCTAAACTTCCCTTCTCGCTTCATTTCATTCATTTCATCTTCCATCGGTGATACCCTTTCTTCCAGTTGACCGCATTGGCTCCTGAGGCTTCTGCATTCTTCACATAGTTCTCGAGCCTTGGTTTTCAGCTCCATCAGCTCCTTTAAGCACTTCTCTGTATTGATTATTCTAGTTATACATTCTTCTAAATTTTTTTCAAAGTTTTCAACTTCTTTTCCTTTGGTTTGAATGTCCTCCTGTAGCTCGGAGTAATTTGATCGTCTGAAGCCTTCTTCTCTCAGCTCGTCAAAGTCATTCTCCATCCAGCTTTGTTCCATTGCTGGTGAGGAACTGCGTTCCTTTGGAGAAGGAGAGGCGCTCTGCTTTTTAGAGTTTCCAGTTTTTCTGCTCTGTTTTTTCCCCATCTTTGTGGTTTTATCTACTTTTGGTCTTTGATGATGGTGATGTACAGATGGGTTTTTTGGTGTGGATATCCTTTCTGTTTGTTAGTTTTCCTTCTAACAGACAGGACCCTCAGCTGCAGGTCTGTTGGAATACCCTGCCGTGTGAGGTGTCAGTCTGCCCCTGCTGGGGGGTGCCTCCCAGTTAGGCTGCTCAGGGGTCAGGGGTCAGGGACCCATTGAGGAGGCAGTCTGCCTGTTCTCAGATCCCAGCTTCGTGCTGGGAGAACCACTGCTCTCTTTAAAGCTGTCAGACAGGGACATTTAAGTCTGCAGAGGTTACTGCTGTCTTTTTGTTTGTCTGTGCCCTGCCCCCAGAGGTGGAGCCTACAGAGGCAGGCAGGCCTCCTTCAGCTGTGGTGGGCTCCACCCAGTTGGAACTTGCCAGCTGCTTTGTTTACCTAAGCAAGCCTGGGCAATGGCGGGCGCCCCTCCCCCAGCCTCGCTGCTGCCTTGCAGTTTGATCTCAGACTGCTGTGCTAGCAATCAGCGAGACTACATGGGCTTAGGACCCTCCGAGCCAGGTGCGGGATATAATCTCCTGATGCGCTGTTTTTTAAGCCCGTCGGAAAAGTGCAGTATTCGGGTGGGAGTGACCCGATTTTCCAGGTGCTGTCTGTCACCCCTTTCTTTGACTAGGAAAGGGAACTCCCTGACCCCTTGCGCTTCCCGAGTGAGGCAATGCCTCGCCCTGCTTCGGCTTGCACACGGTGCGCGCACCCACTGACCTGCGCCCACTGTCTGGCACTCCCTAGTGAGATGAACCCTGTACCTCAGATGGAAATGCAGAAATCACCCGTCTTCTGCATCACTCATGCTGGGAGCTGTAGACCGGAGCTGTTCCTATTACTCACCTTTCAATTTTTAAAATTATTTCAGTTTTAAAAAAGTATTTGTAGAGATGAGGTCTTGCTATGTTGCCCAGGCTAGTCTTGAACTCCTGGGCTCAAGTGATCCTCTCGCCTTGGCCTCCCAAAGTGCTGGGATTACAGGAATGAGCCACCATGTCTGTCCAATTCTCAATTTTAAAAAGGAAGAAGATGGGAATTTTTCACTGACTCAAGGAAAAATACAGTGTATGCTTGGCTTTCTGGTCTCCATTACAAGAGTTTACCACCTCTCTGAGATTTTTCCTTCTTTCCTACAGAATTCCAGCTGCCAGTGGTAGGAAGGATTCTTCCTGCCTGAGCTCACAGACACAAATCCCAGAGGCTGTACATGTCCCAGCAAAGAAGATATTGAAAATGTGTGAAAATGGGTAAGAGTCCCAACTCACCCTATTTATATTACCTGTCAGTTCGTTCCCTCCTACAATGAAATAGCCATAACTGCTGCTAGCCATTAGACTACAAAGTTCTTTACACATGTAATCTCACAGAATCCTCTCAATCCACACTGGGTCTGGTAAGATCATACTTACATTTGACCATAGTTCCAGACATCATGTTGCCTTGGTCAGAGATGTGGTATTCATTTAATCTCTATTCTCCAAAAACCACTTTAGTAGCCAGATAAAAACTCTTCCTAGAGAATTCACAGAAGAGGAGATTTGAGGCTGGATTCTTTAGGTTTTTTGTTTCCCATGTGCTGGGCAGAATGTTATGTGTTTTACAGGAAATATCTCATCTGATACCTCCCAAAAACTAATGAAATAGGTCCTGTTATCTTTATTTTTTCCCTCTTTTTGACAGATGAGGAAATAGAGGCATAAAGAAGTCAGGGACTTTGGCAAGGCAGGTAGAATACCTGAGATTTGAGCCCAGGGATTACCCAATTCAAAGCTCCTGTTTTTAATCACTTTGCTATACTGCCCATTACAAGTGCATTATGGATGTCTTCAGGTACCACTGAGGTGTTGATATTATCCATATTCAGGTTTCCGAACAACCGCTAACCACAAAACACAAGAGTCCACAGCTTCATCCACTCATACAATTGGGAATGTTACCAGGTGGTCTTAAAAAAACAATATCATAGTCAAATAAGTGTGAGAACACCAATATTAAACATGAATACATTTATTAACAAGATTAAAGAGATTTTTTTAAAAATAGGAGCTCTCAGAAATGGTAATGTTTAGGTATGCATTGTAAATCTCCAAGATTATAGTATTTGTATTTCTCAAGTATATTTGATCACAGAACCTTCTTTTTCTCCATGGCATCTTTCATATTTTGGGCACTAATTTCCATAGATCTCAGAAAAATAACTTTCTCCCTCTATTCTGAAAAAGGCTTCTGTTCTCTTCCTTGGAGCAGTCTTGATTTTGCGCTGTCAGTTCTTCTGACCCATTACCACCCCTGCATTCCACTATCTGCTTTGAGCTGTTCTTTCTTTTCATTTCTTGCTCTCTTTCTCCCCCATGTTGGGAATATTTCCCCAGTTTTCCACTTCAGATAACCTCAGCAAGCAGTGAGTGTGTGCCTTGCTTCCGGTTGGTGCACAGCCAGGTGACAGATCTGTTCTCACAGGGCATCTTGAACTTTTTTGCCTATTTTTTCCTACTGCATTACGATTAAGACTTTCTTGTTTTTTTTTTTTCCCCAGGAAAATGGACATTCTGAACTCTTCTAAAGCAACTGATAGGTGATTTTACTGATGCTGATAACATTAGAGAGTAGGATAGTTTATGGTAAAATAACATATTTTTAAATATTAGAATACACGTGTACACATACATACGTACATAGATGTAATATACTCACATATTATAACCTTGTTCAATAAATTTGACATCTTCCCACAGACACTGAAGAGATATTTAACACATACTATTGAACACTGTAGAAAGCTAGATGAAATGAGTTCAGAAAAACTTTGTACCAATAGACCTGGTACCTATACTTTGTCATGTTAACAACGAAGTATTATATGTTATAGGCCCATTGTTCACCCCTTAGAGCACCTAAAAGGAGTAGTTTTCATTGCCTTACACCTCATCAAGCCAACTAAGAAGAAAGGTGGCTGGGTCAGATGGCTCAGGCCTATAATCCCAGAACTTTTGGAGGCCGAGGTGGAAGGATCGCTTGAGCCCAGGACTTTGAGACCAGCCTGGGCAATAGTGAGACAAAAAATTTAAAAATTAGCCAGGTGTCGTGGTGCATGCCTGTAGTCTCAGCTACTTGGGAGGCTATAGTAGCTGAGCCCAGGAAGTGGAGGCTGCAATGAGCCACGATCACACCACTGAACTCCAGCCTGTGCAACAGAGCAAGATCATGTCTAAAAACAAACACACACACACACACACACACACACACACACACACACACACACGAGAGAGAGAGAGAGAGAGAGAAGAAAGGTATATCATTTTGGGAACTTCAAAATTATAGTGACAACATTAGGTTTGACATGATAGGTATATTATTTGATAATAAAAGCTCATTTCATCATAATGATAGAAGTACCACTACTCTCTTTTCTTTCCATTTTGAACTCTATGTATTTAAATAATAAGGAAGAAAAAAAGACAGTGAGGATTATTAAGAGACAGATGTTAAATATAAAGAAAAAATAGGCCAGATGTGGTAGCTCAGGAGGCTGAGGCAGGAGGATTGCTTGAGCCCAGGACATGGAGACTGCAGTGAGCCGTGATTACACCACTGCACTCCAGCTTGGGTGACAGAGCAAGACCCTGTCTCAAAAAGTAATAGTAAAGAAAGAAAGAAATATAAATAAGAATCATTCCAATTCATACATAGAATAAATATTAGCACACAGATGATAAAACTTGAAATGTGTAAAATTCTAATAATCAAAATAATTTGCAGCACATGGGTATATGTAAACCATTTTTTTAAATTGGCTTATAGTATAAAATTTGTGAGGAAAGAAATCATAAGGAGAAAATGCATTCAACTGATTTTGTAACTACAGTATTTTTCTAATGATCATGAACCATAAAAGTAAAAGTTTTCTGATGATGGCTGTTGCCTCTGATGATGGCTATTGCCTGCCTGAAGGCTGCACCCAGGTGTGGGAACCGCACTGCTTAGGGCTTGTGGCTGAGAGGCCTGTTGACCTGGTCTCTCAGCTCCTTCCACCTGCCCTCTGCTGCCTTCCCATTGTCCTCCCCTGAGTTTAGGGTGGGGTGACTCATTCTGCTTGGCTGCCTCCATGCCTGGACAGAGTGGCGCCTGCTACCAGGCCCTCCAGGTGGTTCTGGTACTCAACCCACTGGGAGTGGAAACGGCCCATCCCCGGATTAGAGCACACATTGAGGCTTGGGTTTGAATCCAGGCTGTGCTCTTCGGTCACTGTATGTGCTTCTTGCTGAGCTGATCTCAAGTGTAAGACCACATAAGTAACTACCTTTTAGGGATACCCCCGAGGCTGAAGTGAGACCACAGGATGAACCATTTTCAAAGCACCTGGCAGTCCCTGTGTGTAACTCCATTGTGTGTACCCCCACCTGCTGCCACTGCTGAGACATCCAACCCTCATTCCCTCTCCCATCTCCAGTGACATAAGGTCATTTACAACCTACATTTATAATTTATAATGTTTGCAGGTATTAAATTCCCATCCACTAAAAAAGGTAAATATTAGAACATTCTGTACTGAAATTATGATTTTGAAAAGAAATTATCTTGGACTCTGAAAATTACCTGAGGTATTTGTTTCCTAATATTTTTCCTATGACAGTCCCAATTTAAAGCAGAGTCCCTTCTTCCTCAAACTGAGCTAATTTTAATTAGACTACTATTTCTCCATTTGCTTTTCTCATAAGGCTTCACTAGTTTTGAGTGACTGCAGATGACTTGAGTAATGGAAAGTGTTTTAGAGGGTCATGCACAAAAATAACAAATGCTAATTCAGGCAGAAAACAATGGAGTTTTCACATTTATGCATACAGAGAAAATTTATATTTTACTAGAATGCAAAAAAAGGCATGAAACCCCCATTCAGGCTAATATTTCTTGCCAATTATATTTTATTTTTTACCAATTATTTAAATTAATCATCTCATATTTCCCCAATATCAAAATTGAAATATAACTCATTCATTTCCCGGTAAAATATTACTCATAGAAACACATAAATATAAATCAGTTTTGGCTTTACTCAACTTTAGGGTTCCCAGATAAAATACAGAGTGCCTACTTAAATTTGAGTTTCAGATAAACAAGAAATTTTTGTTAGTATAATTATGTCCCAAACATTGCAGGGGACACACTTATCCTAACAAATAGTTCATTTTTATTAGAAATTCAGATTCAGCTAGGCATGTTGTATTTTTATTTGCTAGATCTGGCAACTTAACTCCTTTGCCATTTTTATTTCTACAAGTCACAGGAAACTCCACGAACAAGCACTCTTTTTTGTTATATAAAAGTACAGATACAGAAAAACCAGTTATATATACAGACTATGCTTAAGGAAACGTAATGATTATATATACTGGGGTCTGAAACTGCAGGATTCTTTAGCCATTTGTAATTGGGTCATGAAAGATAGAATTCTTGAAAACAAAGACATTGCTTAGGATGTAGTAATTGATAAAAGTTTAGCAGCTTCATTCTAATTTAAATTAGAGTGCCTGAGAAAACTAGCAACATAATTTGGCAAGATCTAAGGCAATTACTTAAAAAGAGGAGCAGGTGTAATTGAGCATGCAGTCTTGTCATCTTGTCATTCCAAGAGCAGGTAGATTCGCCATTGAGGAAGTGTGGCTATGCCAAAATCATTTGTAGAAACATAATTTTATGTGTGTGCTCTGTGGAGGAAGAAGATTGTCAGAGGGAGGGTCGGGGTTACAAACATAGGAATGTGGTTCCCTAGGTGAATGCATATGAAAAAGGACCCCAAGCCAGTGGTGAAAAGTAACACTTTTCTTGATGAAACTATCTAAAGTAAACGAATACCAGGACCAAGATTTAAAAGGCAGAAGAAACATTACTTGTTTAGAGAAGTGATCAAGATTTTTAAAAATAGATGTAATATACTTGGCAATTTAATTGTAATGGCTTGTCAGGTGTTCCTGTTAAGTCTACAATTTCCCCCTTTTGTTTTTCATGGCTTTTAATCTTAATTTTCTCTAACTACACAAGATTCACAAAATTAAGCTGTTTGGTAGGACTGCAGTATTTATTTTGTTTGATTTCCTTTTTTGATCATTTCTTTACACGAACAGCAAATCTCTTCAGCAACACCTGAAAAGATTTACCTACTCTTCATAATAAAAGACTTTCGGTTAACTTCTGAGGTTTTAAAACAACGAACTGTCAACCACCAGAATGGCGAACTCTGAACCTCAAGCAAACTGAAGAGAAAGTTAGCACATCTGCCTCCCTCTAACAGAGTTAAAAACACTTCCCTTGAATTAATATATTCATTATATATTTCCAAGGAGAGTCAAATGACAGGTTCTACAAAGGTTGCCTTAACTGGAGTACTTTAAAAAGTTACTTAGCAACAATATAGCTAGCTCTACACATGCACTCCATATAAAACTGATGATTTCATCAGATGGCTTCTACCCAGAAATTCAGACATTAGCATCAGTTTGGGTCAACACTTTGCTTACCCCTGAATAACCTGAGTCCTTAAACAATTTATAGTTCCTTACATGGGGTCTTTGTTGGGGCCTTTCCTGAACATAGAGGGCTATTCCTTTTTCCTTCAAATGTATTCTAATTCAAATCCCTTCTTCACTGAAATGGCATGACACAAACCTCCAGGCAATGGAGTTTTTTTTTTTTTTCCTTTCAAAACAACAGACATTTGCTAAATTTCAGAGAAGCACCTGTATTAATTGTATTTCCTGCTCATGTGTTGCTTTTGTTTACAATAAAAGAATTCATCTCAGGTGAGTTAACCTTGCTTTTTAGAGAGGGCACCTGCAGTTATCTTGGTGAGTATTGTAAATCAAAACATGTTGAGCCTTTAAAGAGGGAAATAAAGAGGTGCTGACAAGAGGGGATGCCAGTAGGATTAAGCGACTTTCTCACCACTGGTATTATCAGGACAGAGAACAACTGAGTCACATTAAATTACAGGGGGGAGAAAGAGTCCCAGAAATTCCACAGATGGGATGACTGGCTTACCTAAGACGCCAGTCAATGGGAGGTTGACTGGCGTCTTAGGTAAGCCCGGGAAGAGGAGGGGTCTGTGAGGAGGTATGAAAAGACAACTCCCTCCTTAGCCTCGGGCTTCGATAATTGACCAAGATTTTTCAGCTTGTGATTTGATCCAGCCAAACCCTGTTAGAGGCACTTGCCCCCAACTGAGACCAAGACTGAAGTGAATAAGAATTAGGTGAGTCACTTGTATGTACAATACGTGCATTCACATCTATTAGGCTAAATGACACATCGCTCACTTTAAGCACAGGCAGCTGGAGATTGTCATATTCTGAAAATGACAACTGTTATTTATTTATTGAGAATATTTATACAGGTTCTTCCTGGGCACGGAGAATGCATTTTTCAGCAGCACCATGACACCGGCTGTCACGTGCTGTCTTCCGTTGGAGAACGGAACACAGAAAACCATTAGCACAAGCAGAGACAAAGCACACGTATTCGGGGCAGCAATCTGTAGGAGCAGAGATTTAGAAGGTTGAAGGTGGCAGGTTTTTAAGTATGGCCTAAGTCATTTTCTTAACAGGGTTTCAAGCTCCTCTGAGGAGAAAAGGATTGTTTTTCCACACAGCATGATTTCGGTAACTGCCAGAGGACCAGTTTTGAGGCATCGATTAATTTGGTCGAAGGGTTCATATTATACAACTCAGGGGGCATGTTTGTTAGCTGGTAAAGAAGGAACGGAGAAAGTTTAGGACCAAAAGCAACCCTTCTTGTCTGTTTTCCACATATTACCGTCCTTGAAGCTCTAGAGAAGGCTCTTCCCTCCTCTCTGCTGTAATTCTCCCATATTAAAAAAAAAAAAAAAAAAAAAGGCACACTTTCTTAAAACGTCATTTCTCCAAGTAGGGGCCCCCATTCAAATTGTCCATTCCTGGGCCACATGATAGATTTACTGAATCTGAATATCTGCGAGAGACCTTGGAATGTGCATTTTAAGAAGTTTCCTCAATGTTTCTTTTGCATTTTCTTCCAAAGATACAGTAAGGTTATGTAAAAGAGTGCATTCTGAGCTTCCCAGATTCTAAGTGCTGGTTGATATTGCGTTCACAACAACACATATTGCTTGATGGCAACTCAAATCACTGCAGAATATCTACACATACCCTACATTTCTTAGGGGGTACTATGTTTTCTTGACTATACATGTAAGTGTGAATGACTAAATATAACCTTTTCCAGAGAATACTTTACATATACATACCTCCTAGAAAAATTCAATTAAACATAAAACATTTCTCTTACAGCCACCTGGAACTAATTTTTTGGTATGTTGGCCTGTTCCCCAATCAGATGAAATTTGCAGAACCCAGTGTGCCGTATGTGAAGTTGACCTCCCTCCTCTTGCTATAGTAAATGCTGGAGAGTAATTCTTCTTAGAAATAGATTAAGACCTCCAGAAAATGGGGCTTTAACATGAATATCAAACTGCATACACAAATTTAAATTTCAGATAATTATTTTATTGGCAAAGACTAAAGAAATCCAATATCAAAGTGATATTTTCCTTATTTGCATTAGAAATATTTTCCCATTACCAAAATGAAAGAAGGTCGTTAGGAAAAAGAATGACTGATATGAATAAGCATTTTTTTTTTAAAGAGAAGTTTCAAATCTTTCAATTCTACTTGCCCAGAGACAACTACTCTCAACACTTTGGTACTTATAACATCTATGTTGACTATGTAGATAAAAAGTTGGGTTTGTTTTTTTTTTAATAAGCAAAACTGGAATTTTTACCCCTCATATTGTTTTGTATCTATTTTGTTTCATGAAAAATATATTATTAACAATTTTCAAATCAATAGATATAGTATTAGGGAACATTTTAAGATGTTGCATGCGTCCATTATGTAGATATGTAATAAGGCATCTAACCAACACTTGGCTTTTTTATATTTAGATTATTTCTAATTTTGCTGTTATAATTAGTGAGATAATGTCAGCCCCCAAAAATGTGCTGAATATTCTGTCTCCTGTGAGAAGCAGATTTATGCATTTGCAACAACCAAATGCCTGCCATTAGAAGTAGAGTGTAAATAAGCTTGTAGGTCCTGACACCAGGCTGAAAAGTGGACAGTTTCCAAGAGCCATTTCTTCTCATTTTTCTGCCACCCACTTCCCACACCAAGAGCTCCTTCCCACTCTATTCCCCATCCCACATCCTCTGAGGATTCTGGGAATATGAAAACCCCCCCACCATTAAAAAAAAATTAGCTTGAAGCTCCTGTTTCCAAATTTAAATTGAATGACTATGTCTTTGGCAATAGACTGTATGGAGCAGGGATGCATAGGTAAGTGAGTCCTGTCTATCAGCTTATCTCTTAAAGGCCCAAAAGCAGATTGTTTTTTATAACTCTAATGAAGCTTAAGCTTCATGGTCTCTTGCTTGCATGGGCACCTTCCAAATATTAAGTGTTTTTTGTTAATTGGCAAAATTATTCTAACACTGAGAAACAAATTTGGTAAAATGTTTTGAAATGCTTTAATAAAACAAGTGAGAATTTCTTTTCAGTATTCTCCTGATTTGAATGTTTTCGAAGAGTACCATTTTTATCATCTATTAATGTATTACAAAACTAAAAGAAAATTCAGAAAAAATAATGGAATATGAAACTAAAAACACTAAAAATGAGTGATGAAATCAATAGAAATTACTGTGATACAGAGCAGCTACATAAACAAAAGAATTTTCAGATTAAAACAAAAGGAGTAGTTTATTAAGAAAGATATATTTCACTGGTGTCATCTATAAAAATGAATATATTTCAAGTCAAAGTGTACTTAAGATTAGTTACTGCAAAATAAAACTTAAAATGCCCTGAAATATTATAGCTCATATATAAAAAATTTAATGAACATTTCCCCAAATTTAACAGAATTCTAAAAATTTTTAGAATTTACATGAAGCTTCTATATCATGAAGCTGAAAGGAACTTTTCTCAAACTAGGTAATATTTTTTTTAATCAATGATGCTAAATAAAGTCTGAATCATCTTTCTTTTCTCTATATAAAAATAGTTAGGCCGGGCACAGGGGCTCACACCTGTAATCCCAGCACTTTAGGAGGCCAAAGTGGAAGGATCACTTGAGCCCAGGCATTTGAGACCAGTGTGGGCAACATGGCAAAACCCCATCTCTACAAAAACTTAAAAAACTGTCCAGCATGGTGGTGTGCACATGTAGTCCCAGCTAATTGGGAGGCTGAGGTGGGAGGATGACTTGAGCCCAGGAGGTCAAGGTTGTGGTGAGCCATGACTGCGTCACTGCACTCCAGACAGAGTGAGACCCCATCTCACAAAAACACAAAACAAACAAACAAACCATTGTCATATGAAAAGGCAATCAAAGACTCTGTTGTCCCCAAAGTAAGAACAACAGCATTATAGGAAAGTTGGGAAGTTAATTTCTAAAAGTCATGTTATTCTTCTTTGTTTTGTTTTTCGATTTTTAGATTTTTTTTTTAGGGCCAGATGTTTATAGATTTTCAGCTTTTAAAAAATTGTTTCTTATTCCAAATATTCATTTCTGTGCTTAATTTTATATTCATAAGTGTTCTATTCTGTTTGTTAAAGAAGACTTTCCCCCTAACTTGTAATGAGCTTCAGACTCATCATAACCTGAAGTGAACGCTGAGGTTGTCCAAACTCATAAAACTCGGTTGCATCCATGTTCATTTACACCAAGAAGGTGCTTATGGCCAACAAAGAGGTGTGTAGCCCTGTTACACACCTCTTCGATCAAAGAATAGAGCAAGCTATGCAGCCTTTGCAGGCATAGGGTGGAGGGGAGGGAGTTGGGAAGGATTCATGCAGAAACTGTTCATAGGATGCAGTGGACTTTGGAAATTCTTTGCAAACAGGTAAAGTAAGTTTCCTAAGCAGTATGTTAGGTCTCTAAGTGGTGCTTAAACATATCACAAAGGTAGCAGATGAAGGATCAGATTGTTAGGGAACAACTTGCTTGTAAAACCCAAAGAGCAGTGGTTGATCTGATAACTGGCGGATTCTTAATAGCTCAACACAAATAAACCACTTGTAAATGCCCCTGGGCTGGCCTGCCTTACAACCCTTTTCACATGGCAGTAATATATGGCCAGTAATTACCATAATGAGCCACCAGAAGGCATCTATTTGTTAGCCCTGGAAGAGCTTGCATCTGGCTTTTAGGTGTGAAGCAAGGAGAAGCAAATGACAAGAAGCATTTGAATATACATTTCCTCTGGGCAGCTACTTATTTGAACAGCTGCTTATGAGGCACACAGCACCATTAAGTCGGTCCAATTCAGGAGGCCGTGTGCATCTTGATTTCTATTTTTTTCTTTGAAGTATAGGACCAGCCTATTTTCTCCCCGGGTAATAATTTCTCCAAATTAAAAGTGGTTACCCGACTTAAAACCTGTGACAAGTCTATTGTGTTGACCTCTACAGCTGGGAGAGTGTGGAGGTTGCCAGGGAAATGGGCTCTAGAAACACATGGAACACACTCAGAAGTCACGTGCTAAATTGTTTGGTTTTAGATTAAGTTTCACTGGAAAAATGATCCAGAGCTTTCTTTCTCTCTCTTTTTTGTCTTTGTCAAAACAAAGACTGTATAACAAAGGCAACATTTTTTAGCCATCTGCTGAAAATACAAAAATATTTTCATCAAAATAACAAATTGGTGGTTTGTTGTGTCAGCTTGTACATTTAATAATTCCAATGATAAGCATTCCCCAGATATCAGAGGCAAATATGCCATCTGAAAAAAGAAAGGAATCTAGGTACATAAGAAATGAGCTATAAAATTACACTGAAGCTGGTATTGTAACAGGAGAATGGGGAGTGTTTTGAGGGGAAACTAACATAGAAATGGACAGGAGGTGAAAGGCTTTGAATCCTTGTAATGCTATGGCTAGGAATCAAACTAAAGTGTTTTCTCCTTTGCCACTGAGCATACTGTCATAGTCAGGGCCGGATTATTCAATGCCTTAACCATCTCTGCTTACGAAAAGATATTAGAAATGCTGTATATGTCTTGAACTATTAGGAGTATACGTGAAATAATGCATCTAAAACACTCAGGAGCATAAAACAAAGGTCCCTGGCATTTCTTACTGACCCAAAGTTTACCTTAGATAAAGAGATTTATATGGAACTTGGAAGAGGCATATCAGAAGTTTGCCTTGACATTCGTGGATCACTGAGCATTCCAAATGCCCTTAAGAAGATTATCAGGTGGTTGTGTTTTCTGAAGTTTCCTGATCTCTCCTTTTACCTAGTGGTCAAACTGTAGGCATTTGGTAGCTTATCCTTGAGATATTAGCAAGACACAAGATGACAGGGTTTGCACATAAAATACAGGTCACTATTATATATTCTTCCCATAGATTCATCAGCTTGCAATTTTTTTGGACTCCTGCACTTTATTTATGTTTTGGTTTAGTGAAGAACTTTACAATTATATATAAATTTCTCATATAGTATATATGATATATATATATATATATACACACACACACACCACATACACATGCACACACACATAGTCACATGGTTAAAGGATCTAAAACTGTATACAGTAAAATGCCTCCTCACTCTTGTACCCAATCCACCTAGTTATCTTCTGCCCATTGTTCATGCCCTAAATATTGTTATTGGTTTCGTGTGTGTTTTTCTTATATTTCTTTTTGTACATCCAAGTAAACAAACACATATATATAGTTCTCACCTACTTTAATGCAAAAGTCAATATGCTCTGCATGCTGTTTTGCATCTTACTTTGTCACTAAACATATCTTTGACTTAAATTTATCTCAGTACATGGTTTCCTCAGTCATTTTCATAGCTGCATAATTTCTTGTTTTTGAATGAATTATAATTTATTTAATCCAAATCGCAACATTTTAAAGTCCTGGTCACTCTTAGAAACACCATACAAAATATGCTGAGCCAAACTATAAATACTTTCATTTGAATTAAACTTTAAATTGTTATCTACCTGCACCCTGAATTTTAAAACTCAAAAAAAGATAATGAACTGGTAGAGTCAGGGATTATTAGAAAGAAAAATCTAATTTATGAGTTTGAGCTGGATAGAATGCACAGAATTAGAAGAGGCAAAAGCCAACTGAGAACTAAATATTGTATGGGGTGTTTGTCATGGCTACCTTATTTTTTTTAAATATTGTATAAAGATTCAGACTTGGATTTTTTTTTTTTTTTCCCCCAAATAGAGGAACAGCTGCCCTACATGGCTTTGTCTCTAAGACCACAGAACTAATGTTTCTTTAAGGTCTTCCAACCTCTCTGATCCTACTTTTACATTTAATTAAGGTAATCCTTCAATCTACATCCTCTTGCAGACCCCATTCTCTTTTCTTTCTAAGTTGTTATCCATGTTCCACCTGAAGCAGGAGATCATATTGCAGTTTTGGTCCTAAGCTCATTAAAGAAGAATGCATCTGGCATTTCTCTGGGAGGAAAATGGGCTTTCAAGTTCTAATTGGAAAGATCTGAAGAGTGTAGAACTACCATGTCTTTTTGACCACAGGCCCCAGACCACTGAGTTTATATGCTCACTTTGTGGAAAACGTTGGGTCTATGATCTTGACTGAAGTTGTTGTTTGCCTGTTAAATAAAATTAGATTAAAAAAATTTTTTTAAACTTCCATCCTGATGTGAGCAAAATTGTGTAGGTATGTGCAGTACCTCCATAATCTCTCTTGTTGAGAAAATTGCACGAGGTTTGTGGATAAACATAAAGTATTAGAAAAGTTCAAGCAAAGAGAGATACAACCAAGAGGGAAGCTGTGCCAACAGAAAGGGGGAAAAACAGAAAAGAAATGAGAAAACTAGAGGGGCAGAGGGAGGGAGGAAGGAAGGAAGAAGGAAGGGAAGGAAAAAGGAAAGGAAGAGGCTCTCTTAGAGCAGAGATTGCTTGCCTTTCTCTTTGCGGCCTGTCACAATGGAAGGTTTAGGGCTTTATCAGGTGTGGAGTGCTAAAGCATAGCACTTGGTTTTGCCTGAAGGAAAAAGCTAATGAACAAGTATTTTTTGCCTTTCTCTCTCTCTCTCTCTCTTTCTTTCTACAAAGGTATTGGTGACTGAAAGCCTTTTCTTGCAGAAACTGAAGGGACAGAGGACTAGTAAAAACCAAACCAAAACAACAAACAGCAAAACAAAACCCAGAGTAATAATAAATAGTTCCCTGCCAACATATTTACCTAAATGTCTGGGGTCACTCCAACACTCCTCTGTGTCCATCTGCTTATCGGCTACTTGCCTCATTCCCAAGGATACCTAACAAATATTTGCTGATGAGACTGGTATCAGGTTGTATTACGTCCCCACTTGCTTCAACACACAGCATGATAATGTCTCATCTTTATAAGTATTGTAAGTATTAAGTTATCTTTCTGACAATGCTTCCTTTCTCAAGCCCTCTTTTAAAAATGACATGAATTTAGCTCTTACAAGACTTTAAAAGAGAACAAGAGGACTAGCAGATTCCCTTCCTGCCCTTCTGACCCACACGCATCCTGGGGTCAGCGCCCTGGCCTGTCTTTATGTAGTCACTAGAAAATAGGTGCCAGATTCTCTTCTTTTGACTTAAGCCCTGGCTCTGCATGTATTTATTTTCACCTGTTGGAGAATGCAGTTCCCCTAAAGTATTGAGCCAAATATACAGATCCATTCTGAAATCATCATAAAAGGATTTATTTCCTTAAGAACATGTTAGCTTATCTAAACATCTGCTACTCAAAAGTGATTACTTGGGAATTTCCAGGTCACACAGGAACACGCGAGTCTGTTGCTACTGGATTAATTTAGACAAAAACCAGCAACCAAACCTTTTGGGGTGGGACAGAGAGTGCTTTAAAAATTAGTCTGGAACTTTAAAAATGTGAATTTACATACTTTTAAATGCCATTTCTGATTTGCCTTTATTTTAATCAGTCTATATATTTGGTCTTTGTGCTGAAGTCTTAAGTAGCAAATATACAGAAGCCATGCAAGTCTCTGAAAAGGTTAATTCTTATGTAGCAACAGCAGTATTTTTAAGTGAGGGAGAGAAACATAGAATTTTAAAGAATGTTTTGGAGAGAAATGTTTGAGAACAGACTCCAGAATTTAGGAAATATTTATGATATAGGCAGTAGATTCAAAGAAAGCTATAATTTTGCTGAAAGTGATTTAGCAGAAGGGGAGGAACCAAACTTTCTAGAATGAGTTAGCAAACATTTGGTTTGGTGGAAAGAAAAGAAAATATCAAGCATCTACTATATGCCAAGCATTTGGCATTTATTATCCCATTTAATCCTCATCTATGATGACTCCTCTCAAACAGATGAGGAATCTACAACTCAGTGAGTGTGAGTAAGGTGCCCACGGTGATGGGCAGAGGCAGAATTTCAACTGGGTCTGTTTGCTCTGGAATTCACCATGCCATGTCACCTTGGTTTTCAACGTTGAATGTAAAACATGATTTAAAGCAACGGTAATGACATCCTGACAGGTGAGTGCTCTGGCTAGTGATGCTCAGTTCTAGCCTCAACAACAGAGGAGGTAGGTAGGCAAGTATTACAGTGGGCACATTGCATTCTTCCTGGATGTCTCCCTCAGCCCTGTCTCCAGGATGGAGTCTGCAATGTTGTTTTCTGGATGGAGCAAGTTTGGAGAGAGTAGTGGAAGAAATAGGAGGCAGAGAGGAAGTCAAGGATATGTCTAGACCCAACACTCCACACACACTAATTTGGTATACTATTTGCTTTTGAAATCTGGAATAGAAGAAGAGATGCTTGTACAGATTGGGTAGACCAGGGATGTTGGAGGAGGAAGGATGAAGGGGCTGCTCTGCTTCTCATAACCAGAGATCCCCAGTAGGTTGTCCATAGGCTTGACCTGTGGGTTCTTTTGTTTGGCCCACACACTTTGTATTTGTTTGTTTAAATAATTCCCAAGTTTTAAAAATCCATTCAACAATTATCTATTGGGCATGTGCCAGGTACTGTTTCAGGAACTTGGAGTTCATTAAGGAACCAGACAAAGCTGCATTCATGGAACTTATATTCTAGCAGGGAGAGAAAAACAATAAATAAAAGACATACTAAATGATTAACATATAGTATCTGAGGAAGTGAGTGCTAAGAAAAAAAGTCAATTGGGGTAATAGGGGTTTAGAAGGAGGATGGGGTGGGCTATGGGATGCCTTGTTGAGGAGGAAGAATTTGAACAAACTCTTGCAGGAGGTGAGGGTGTCAGCTCTATAAACATGAGCAGTGAGGATGTTCCAGGCTGAGGGAATGGCCAGTGCCCAGTCTCTAAGGTGGGAGCATGGGTGCTTGTTTGGGGAATAACAAGGAGACCCTGGGGCTGGAGTGGTGTAAGCAACTGAAAAGGTAGTAAAAAGTCAGGTGAGTTAATTGATGAGGGACTGGATGGTGTAGGGCCTTATGAGCTTTTCTAAGGGCCAACTTTTACTGTCACTGAGATTGGGAACACTGCAAGGTATATAGCAGATGACCTGATTTAACTTATATTTAAATATAATTACTCTGGTTTCTTTGTTGAAAATAGGCTGTAGGGAAAGAGATAAGGATAGACTCAGGAAGACCAAACAGAAATCTTTTGAAGTACTGCAAAATGAAAAATGATGCTGGATAGGGAGGTACCAGTGAAGGTTATGAAAAATTGTGGGAGTGTGAGTGTTTCAAAAGGTAAACACAAAAAGGTCTATTACATTGGATGTGGAAAGAAGTGAAAAATGACTGCAGAGTTTCTGGAATTTCTGGCCTGAGAATGATACTGCCATCAGGGAGATGGGGAGAGCTGTGGGTAGAGAAACTTTTGCAGGAAAGATCAGGAGTTCAGTTTCACCATGTTACATTAACAATGTCTGTTGGACATCTCAGTGGAGATGTCAAAGAGGATAGTGGATATGCAAGTCAGAGTTTAGGAAAGCTTCTTGGTTGAAGATATAAATTTGGGAGCCATTGGTAAGAAGAGGTGTTTAATGACATAAGCCTGAATAACAGTTCAAAAGAATGAGTGGGGATAACAGAGGACCAGACTTTAATGTTAAGAAATTTGGAAAATAAGAAATGTGTCAGAATATCCAGATTTCTTTCCTCTGTTGAAAATGGGATGATGTGGAAAATATGACCCCACATTTCTGCATGGCATCAGCAGCTGGGGCTGAATAATTGATTTGTATTCTCCTCCCTGTACTACCTCCACCCTCCCTAACCTGATCCATTTAGACAGGCTATGCACTCTTCAGCTCACCAATATCTCCGTCAGACTGGTTTTACTCATTCATATCACCTGCCTATACTCCAAAGGCATTCAAGTTTGCCAGTCCTGGTATATGCCCATGCATATAGATATTACCAATATTTCTACCTCCCACTGATGGGTAGTAACCCCTGCCTTGAGCAAATCTAGTTTTTCCCCTAATTGTATTTGGGAAATTCAGCCAGCATTTTCATGAGATGATATTGGGTCCATTGGTAAATCTGAATCTGACTTTCTCACCTAGAGAAATAAGGGGACAGATGGTACTGAGAATGACAAATAAATTTTAAAAAATTGATTCGTGATTATTTCAACATTTTCTTCCATTTAAGAAATTAATGGAAACTTCCTCAATCTTGCTCAGCTTTGAAATAGTAGCAAACATTTTACAAATGATCAAATAGAAGGTGACGTACAGCCAGAGAGAAGGCAAATAAATCAAGGGGAAAAGGATGGAGAAACAATCAGGATAAAGTACTCAGCTAAATCTGGAAGGATTGAGGTCCCAGGCATCAATCATGATTACTGTGCCTTCATAGCAGCATAAAAATGTGTATTAATTGGAACATAAAAAATAATAAGTTTAGTTTTTAACCTGACAGTTCACTTGGAAGGTAGCTCTATGCGTTGAGTGAACAGAACTTGCAAATGAGCCATAACTTTAAAGCAATATGCTGGGCTGCCTGGCTTTGAGCAAGGCATATTTTTCTCATTTGGGATTTCAAATATACCCTCCTGCTCTGAGATTTTGTGCTTATTGGTCTTAAAGGCAATGATAAGAAACTTCTAAGTGGGAGAATGGTTGACCAGTTACCAAACACACTGAGTATACTTACTATGTTGTTCTTTAGGCTAGTTGAAAAGAAAAAAGGAATTGCAGTCAAGGTTTATGATCGTTCTCAAGATTGACTCATGGAGTGGCAGTGAGCTATGGAGGAAGATGTGGCTGTCAGTCAGGACCTCCCTCTTGTTTAACACATGACCACCTGCTCATTGAGAGAGAATGGTCACCACATTTTGGGAATCTACCTCCCTACTCCCCACCCAACCTCCTCCCTGAGAAAATATCATCTTCTCAAGTGTACGCACATAAAAAAGGTAGTTTTTTTCTGGTGCCAGACCCCACTGTTTTCTCCATTTGTTGTTTTTATTTTGTTTGCTATTCCCGTCTTTCTTGGGAACTGATATCTTGAGCAATTGGTAAATGGTTCCTATAGCAACAGTCACCAAGTGAAATCTCTCCCAACAGTGCTCCTCCCTCCCTCCAACCCCACCTCAACATTTTTTATCTTTTCAGTAGTTTACATAAATGTGTTTAGGTAAAATCTCCCACAGAGAGATTTCAAAACTCATTCACTAAACTTACCTTTCCCACATTTAATGAACATTGAAAGTTACAGGATAGTTTTTTTTTTTTTAATATGGAGACGCTTCAGGCCCAGCTACCATAAATTTTGTATTTGTGGCTGCATGTAAAATTGTGAGATAACACTTCATAACAGAATAAAAATATTAAAGAAAAGTTATTTTAAGTTTATTTTACCATTTTAAATTTTGATTTCAAAATATTCCTTAGAGGACAGATGGGGTGTAAAAAATCAAGACATGAGCAAAGAAGTAATGCAATGGAGACAGCCCAGCATGAATACATGCATGAGAAGGCCAGTGGGACCAGAATCTATTGACCATTCTGCACTTTCCATCACCAGCAGTAGGAGCCACCAGCTGTGGAGACCTATTAATGATCATTAAAATATTACTTCCATAACTATTATGACATATGATAGGGACATGAGACTTTTTGTATGGAATGAAGCTGGCTTCCACATGTCTCTGGTTTGTCTGGAACAGGGTCTCTAAAGCAGAGTTTAGGAAGACATTATGGTTGCCCCCTTTCATCAACATCAGTAGGTTGATAACCTCTGATGTCCCTAGTGTCATTTCATGTAATATTATGAATTTAACATTCATGAATTTAGCAGTCATGCCTATTTATATTTGTAGCCACACCTTCATGTAAAGAGTTTTACATGCTTTGTAAGTATTCCAACTTATAAGATGCTCCAACTTATATTCCAAGCTGAGTTTAATACATTGGGGGTCATCTAGTGTATGGTGAATATCATGAACTCTGGTGCCAGAATAGCTAGAATCAGGGCCGGGTGTGGTGGCTCATGCCTGTAATCCCAGCACTTTTGGAGGCTGAGGCGGGCGAATCACTTGAGGTCCAGAGTTCGAGACCAGCCTGGCCAACATGGTGAAACCCCGTCTGCACTAAAAATACAAAAATTAGCCAGGCATGGTGGTGCATGCCTCTAATCCTAGCTACTCAGGACGCTGAGGCTTGAGAATCTCTTGAACCCAGTAGGCAGAGGTTGCAGCGAGCCAAGATTATGCCACTGCACTCCAGCCTGGGCGAGACAGAGCAAGACTCCGTCTCAAAAAATAAACAAACAAAAACCCCAACCAACCAACCAACCAAGCAGAAAGAATAGCTAGAATCAAATCCAAGATTGCCATGGTGAGGCTTAAGCAATTTACTCAACCTCCCCATGTGAAATGGGGATAATAATTGCACTTTTCTTATAGAATTGTTATGTGGATTAAATAAGTTAACATAAAAATTACATATAATTCATGAATTCATTAGTTTTAATAACCCTTCTAAACTCTTGCTTTTCCATGTTGCAATCCTAATTTAAAAGACAATTAACCTAGTGAGGAAGGTCATCAGTTCCTTCAGTCATCCTAGTTGCTCTTCAGCCTTTGGCCCTACATTGGCATTCGTGAGGTACAGAGGCCAAAACTAAATCCAACGAACTATGGTGTCTTGAATTTTTTTCCCCAAAATAAATATTTCATGTGAAGGCCAACAATGAAAAACAATAGGAAAATCATATAAAAGCATAGATTTTCAGATCATAGTCTATTGACACAAAAGTAACTCTATTTTTGGCACTGGGTGTTAGATAGCAATATTTGGGGAGCTGGTCAGGAGTTACCCTCTGACCTCACTCTGTCTGAGTTGAATTTTAAACAAAAGCTCTCCAGATATAGGCCAAGGTACATTTAGATTGGGACTGCTTCCAACTTTGGGTAAACTATTCATCTGTTTCCAGAATCTGCTTTCAAGTCCTTTTACCAGTTGAATTGATTTGCATCTATTTTTATGCAGGATGGGATAGGGGATTTTTTTTTTCTCTTGAAATAGAGTTCCTACTGATACTTGGGGTTTCTTTGATTGCCGTACAGTAGTCCCCCATTATCCGTGCTTTCACTTTTTGCAGTTTTAGTTACCTATGGTCAACCCCCATCCAAAAATATTAAATAGAAAATTATAGAAATACACAATTCATAAGTTTTAAATTGCATTCTCTTCTGAGTAGTGTGAGGCAATCTCACACTATCCTGCTCCATCCTGCCTGGGATGAGAATCATCTCTTTGTCAAGGGTACCCACATTGTACATGCTACCCTTCCGCTAGTCACTTAGTAGCCATCTTGGTGATCAGATAAACTGCTGCAGTATTGCAGGGCTTGTGTTCAAGTCACCCTTATTTTACTTAATAAAGGACCAACAGTGCAAAAGTAGCAATGTTGGCATATTGTTATACTTGTTCTATTTTATTATTAGTTATTGTTGTTAATCTCTTACTATGCCTAATTTACAAATTAAACTTCATCATAGGTATGTATGCATAGGAAAAAACATGGTATACATAGGGTTCAAAACTGTCTGCATTTGCAGGCATCCACTGGGGGTAATTGATAAGGGAGGATCACTCTAAATAGAAGCCTACTCAAGCCAACTTTAAGTAAACTAGATTTATACGGAGAACAAGGGCAAAAAATATGGATAGTAAATACTGCTCAGATTCTATTTAGCTATAGCCAGAAGGGCATTGGGTCTGTCTTATTCAGAGCAGCTGAGCCTACCACAGCAAGAGTTGCAGAAGCTCTTCCCACAGAGAGGACACCCTAACTGTGTCACCTAAACTGAGGCTATGCCCACCTTTTTGGCAAGAAGATGGGCCCACATCCATACACAACAGGCTTGAATGGAGGACATAGAATGAGAGTAAACAAAATTGTGGCACAACTATTAGAAAAAAAAGTATTTATTTTTCAGAGATATTTTTCATCCAAGTCCAGAACTGCATAATTAAAATAATATGGGACTTATTTCTTTCACTGCATTGAGGTTGAAGCATAACTCTTGGGCATAAAGTAGGCTACATTCAACAACTCCTTCAGGTTCTCTCCTGGTTCTGATCTGATTGTCAGGAACCATTATCTTGTAGGCACATTTGTACCATTTTCCCGTAATGTGTTATTATATCATCTTACATCAGTCTGCATGGAGCTTATTTGCTATTTTTCTGCCTACTCACATGTCCATGTTATTTTCTTTTACAGTTTATTCTTATTGCCTTGCTATGTCACTGTACAGAAGAGCTTTGTGGAAAATTTTATTCTAGCAGGCATTTTCTTTGTATCACTTATAACAATGTTAAGTAAGACAGATCTGGCACTAATTTATGGTGTTTATACATTTCTATACCTAAAAGTCTTCTCTCCCTCCATCCCTCCTTTCTTCTTTCCTTGCCTCTCTTTATCAGCAGGTATTTATTAAGTACCTATTATGTGCCAGAAACTGCTCTAGGTGCTGAGGATACCTTGGTGAAACAAACAGATAAAATTCTCAGCTCTCATGGAGTTTGCATCTTACAGGGAAAGATAGTCAATAACAAATAAACAAATAGATGTTGAATATGTCATGTTGCTATCATGATAGGCAGTTTTGTCTTCACTTAGTTTCATGATTTGAGTTAGTTCTTCAGTGATAACATATTTTCTCTTAAACCCACAGGATTTATCTCAAATTGGAAGGGAACCACTTTCCTGTGTTTTACATTTCATTTTGAGAGTTTAGAATATATTGAATCAGAAAAAAGGAAATAGACTGTTCACTCTTTTTGAGGAAGAAATGTTTATGGTAAAATTATCTCATTTAACAAACATTTTGTGGAGTATCTATGGAACACATAAAAGAAGAAGTTCTAGTGCTTAACCTTAAGGACTTTATAATTCAATTGAATAAAGTAGAGAAACAACTAGGTAATAATAGTAGCCAGCCACCCCACCTCATGTACATTGATTGTGCCATCCCCAGCTGCCCACAATTGGGCCCACTGAACTTCCGGCAGCTGGTCATGGAGATACTCTCTTCCTTGAGTCACTTTTGCCCATTCCCTATGTAGAACCTGCCTTGGGAGGTGACTTCCACACAGCTTTCCTTTCCAATGGGATTTTTACTTTGGGCTTAGTTTCTGAGTCCCCTGATCTTAATCTCTAGGTAGTGTTCCAGTCTACTTCTGGGGCACCTTCCCTTTTTATCCATTCAGCAAGCATTGGTTGAGTGTCTGCCTGGATCAGACATCTTGTCAAGTGCTGGAGATATTAAAATGATAGAGAAATTGCCTCTCCCCTTGAGGGACTCAGGGGCTGATAAGGAGGTGTACTTATAAAAGTATTGATGAGCCAGATATAAACACTCTGATGATGGTATGTGTGGGGTTCCTTTTGGAACTGAAGAGGAGAAAGCCCTTAGCATCGTCTGGAAGAGAAGAGAGCATAGGAAATAACTCCCAAGAAGTGGATACCCGAGATGATTCTCAAAGGAGGAATAAGAAGTTACTTGGTAGGCAAGAAGGAAAGGACATGTTGAGCCCAGGGAAGTACATAAGCAGAGGAATGGAGATTTGTGAAAGAGCTTTTGTTAGTACCCCACCAGGGAGACTGGAGGTTCCAACTCTGAATTTGAGTGTGTTGGTTGGAACCCTACTTCCGAGCATCAGTGCTTCCCACCTGTTGGCACAAGGCACTACTTCCATTTTTTTTTTCTTTTTAAGAATGATCCTTTTGTATTTAAAAAGTCATTTTATTGAGATAATTTATATACCATAATTCACCTGTTTAAAGTGTACAGTTCAATGGTTTCCAGAATATTTACAAGGTTGCATAACCATTGCCATAATCTAATTTTAAAGCCTTTCCATAATCCCATAAAGAAGCCTTGTACCCACTTGGAGTCCAGTCTCCATTTTCCCTCCCTCACATACAGCCCTAGGCAACCACTAGTCTACTTTCTGTCTCCAAATATTTGGACATATTACATAAATAGAATCATACAATATGTAGTCTTTTCTGACTGGCTTTTTTACTTAGCTTAATGTTTACAAGGTTCATCCATGCTGTAGCATGTACAATACTTCCCTCCTCTTTATGACAGAATAATATTCCATAGTATGTATATACTGCATTTTGTTTATCCCTTCATCAATTCATGGACATTTAGTTGTTTCTACTTTTTAGCTATTGTGAATAATGCCATTGTGAACATTTGTGTACACATTTTTGTGTGTACAAATGTTTTCATTTATCTTGGGTATATACCTAAGACTGAAATTGCTGGTTCACATGGTAAACAGAAATTGTATAAATACCCAATCGTATTTAACTTTTTGGGTAGCTGATGAAGTATTTGCCAAAGTGACTGCACCATTTGTCATTCCTATAAGCAATATGTGAGGGTTCCTGCTTTTTCACATCCTTGTCAGCACTTATTATCTTTTTATTATAGCCATCCAAGTGGATATAAAGTGGTGTCTCATTGTAGTTTCTGTTGACCTTTCCTTAAAGACTTATGATATTGAGCATCTGCCTGTGCCTATTGAGCATTAGTGTGCCATTGCTTCTTAATCCAGTGATGCAAACATTATCTGAACTATGACATAGATGGTAGTGGTGTTCTGTGGGCCCAGCCTAGCATTAAGGGCAATCATATTTCATCAATGTTCCAGTGTAAGGTCAAAGCCCCTCCCCATACCATGCATTGAGATATGAAAATACCTTTTTATGTTTATGGTAATTTACAAAGTAATTTCTAATGCATTACTTCACTTGGATGTTAAAATGTATATGTGAGGTAGACATTATGATCATTTTATCGAGATTTAAGATAAAACTGAGGCCCAGAGAAGTTAGAGAATTTCCAGAGAGTCATACAGCTAGCAAATCTTAGGATAAGAACCTGAATGTGAGTCTTCTTAATTTAACTACAATACCATGCATGCCATTATGATACAGCATTTGACCAAAAATGGTAAGGGGAATGTAAATATTTGTACAAAAGTAATTGATACCTGAGGATTGGAGGCAGGGGACCCTTCTTGTAAGAGAAGCCTCAAAGCCTTATAAATAAATCAGGAGGGTAGCCTATGAGGAAAGGGATAGAGACAAAAGGAAGCAAGATGTATAAGGAAATAATAAGGAGAATGGATTTTAATTGGGAATGGTGAAAGATGAGATGTGCAAGTATGATTGATACCTGTTGTTTTGTCTTGTTTCTCCTCCCATTCTAACCACATGGTTCAGATGGAAGAATCTGTGTTTTAATGTAACCTCACCTTCATTCCTGACTAAAGATGATTGGTCCAGATATGATCACCTGATCCAGGCTGGACCAGTTAAAGAGCTTTCCCAGTAATTGTGAAATTGAGAAAGAAAAAAGCATGTTAGTCTCTCCCCACTGAGGGAAACCATAAGTTATAAATTCCAGCAGGTTTTTTTTTTTTTTGAGACAGTTTTGCTCTTGTTGCCCAGGCTGGAGTGCAATGGCACAATCTCAGCTCACCGCAACCTCCGCCTCCTGGGTTCAAGTGATTCTCCTGCCTCAGCCTCTCAAGTACCTGGGATTACAGGTGCATGCCACCATGCCCAGCTAATTTTGTATTTTTAGTAGAGATGGGGTTTCTCCATGTTGGTGAGGTCAGTCTCGAACTCCCGACCTCAGGTGATCCGCCTGCCTGGGCCTCCCAAGGTGCTGGGATTACAGGTGTGAGCCACCAAGCCCGGGCTCCAGCAGCTTTTGATAATCAATTTTCCTATCCTGAGGGAGAGAATTATCTGCTATGAAGGTGAATAATATAGACACCAATGATACTCTAGGTAAGAGACAAGAGAGGTAGGCAAAGTCCTGCTGTGCTCAAATATCTGGCTTTAATTGTTCTTCAGATTCAGCTACTTGTGTCAGTGACAATATATCTTAAATATGAAAGATAAAACGAATTTCTAAAATTAATCAATGCCATAGACCTTGCAAAAAAGTAAGACTCATTCTCTTCCAATATAGAATTGGAAGTTTCTACAGTCTTGGTCAATGGCTTAAGTGGTTCAGAAAGGTTACCAGAGTCTACAATCTTTTGCATAAAATACTGAGCCTGGGGGCAGTAGGAGATTCAAAAATGTTCACAGCGTTGCTGTTGGCCCTAGACTGCTTATCATTGAAGGAGTTCAGGACATATCATCCTGAAATATGCTGCTTTGGTATATTGATTATTTTAAGCTGAAGGCACTTGAAAAGCAGCAAATGCTGGGAGAGACTTTCTCTAAACATCCCTTATTTGCCTAAGGGTAGGTCCAGGTCCTCTAAAAGGAAATCAATTGTCTTAATTCCCCCGACCCCCAGGAGTTTCATCACCTAGGGAAGATTGACTCATAGAGGAAATTAGAAGTTGACACAACACCCAGACAAGCTTTGTTACAAACCATCATATCTCCCATATATTCTTCTAAGGACTCTCATTTTTTCTAAAAATCATTTACTCTCTCCTAAATGACCTACATGCCTCCCTCCCTTTTCTCCATTAAGATGGTGTAGAAGCTCTCAAATCTCATCACTCTTTCAGAGATTCACGTGCTTTTCCCGCATGATGCCCCTGTGCATGTAATGTTAAAAATGAATAAATTTATGTACCTTTTCTCCTATTGATCTGCCTGTTGACAGTTTATTGGATAAACCCAGCTATCAAATTTAGGAAGGTAGAGGGAAAGTCTCTCCTCTCCTACATCACCTAGGAAGGAAGAGACAAAGTTGTTAAAAAGGGCTGGCAAGTCCTCCATGACAGTCATGCCATGGAATATGAGCAAAAGTTACATGAGTGATGAAGACCAGAAGTTTTGCTTAGAGTGAAGAGGAAGGAGAAACAGTTATGACTTGTGATGGGCAATAAAATAAAGATCCATGGAGGAAGAAAGCAGATCTGGAAAATGAGTAGGATTCAGATAGCCATAGAGGATGACAATGAAAAGTCATAGAGATGAGTTTGATGAATACCATGTGTTTTTGAGAATTTCACTTGTTTATTTTCATAGGAACTTTTGGGTCAGCCTAACATACCAAGCAATCACAGAATCCCCTTTAAAGCAATTGGATCCCATTATACTCATGAACAACTCCTAACAGTGTGGAGCTTTTCCATCCGGTGCTAGCTGGCCCAACTGTATTTTAATATAAATTATTATCTTGTTTACATGACTGGGTCCCTAAGCTGATCGGATCTACTATCTAAAAGTCAATTCATGACTCTTAGGTTTGGCTAGGTTTTTTTCCAAACATATTTTTATGCTGCTAGGAAAGAGCCTCATTTTTTCCTTTCTCTTCCTTACCCCCCCAAATAAAAAAAGCATAGTATAATTTCTAGCATATCTCTAATTTGCTATGTATAATTGGTTTGCCAAAATAATGACCAGTAAGTACTAATAAGCATTATTGCAACATTTTATCATTGAGTAGGCGCTTCACAGTTTATAAAGCAGCTCCAAATACATTCTCATAGTAGCCTGTGATGTAGACAGGGCACACATAATGAGGCTCAGAGCAATTAATAGGCCTGCCCAGACATTGCACTGGGTGACTGTTATCCTAATTCTGCTCCAAGGAAATGGTAAATTCATCTGTAAAAAATGTCTGGCACCTGATATTTGCATCCTGCCAACCAAGACATAGAATGGGCTGCTGTGACTTTCTTCTCTGGGTTAAGCCTCTAGCCTTTCATTAGCCATTAGCTAACCTAGGCCTTGATCCCACCCTTGCCACCAAACTGGGAAACAAGGGCATTTGCTGTGAATCTCAGAGTTGGGAGGAATGTTAGTTACCATCTAGTAAAAGGTTCCCAAACCAGCTGCACATCAGAATAACCTTGTAATTAAAAAATTGCAAACCTTAGACCCATCTCCAAACCTACAGAATCAGAATCTCGAGTTGAGAGGTGGTGAGAATATAGTTGTTTTTGTTGTTGTTGCTTTTGGTTTTTTTTGTTGTTTATACAGAGTCTCGCTCTGTTGCCCAGTCGCCCAGGCTGGAGTGCAGTGGCGCAATCTCAGCTCACTGCAAGCTCTGCCTCCTGGGTTCACGCCATTCTCCTGCCTCAGCCTCCCCAGTAGCTGGGACTACAGGCGCCTGCCACCACACCCGGCTAATTTTTTGTATTTTTAGTAGAGACAGGGTTTCACCATGTTAGCCAGGATGGTCTCGATCTCCTGAACTCATGATCCGCCTGCCTCGGCCTCCCAAAGTGCTGGGATTACAGGCGTGAGCCACTGCACCCAGCCAAATATAGTTGTTTTTAATTTAAAAAATTAAAACTTTTTTAAATGAAGAAAAGTACAAAAGAAAGTATTTTTTTTAAAGTCATCTGTACCTGCAAACTAAAGTGAGCTAATGTTAACATTTGATCATGGTTGTAGAGAGAAAAAGTTGTGTTTTAATGGAAAACCATGCATTGTCTAGACTCTAGAGGAGACCTTTTGGGGTTGTTAAATTCTGATTCTATGGAGATATTTTATAACTCTATATATTGTAGATAACTGATAGCTATGCAAAATAATTCTTGTCTATAGACATAAAAATTCTGTCTCTTTTATCCCAGAGAAAAAGTTTGCACACGTTTTAATATTCTTGATCTATAAATGTATCCGTTCATGGATTCTCTTTTGAGCTCATTGTAACATCTGCCTAGTTTTCTTATTACATTAAAGAAAACCTATAACACATTTATTTTATATGTATTTGAGAGTCAGGAATTCATTTTTTGAAAATTCTCTTAGGTTTTTTTGAAATTTTATTTTTAATTGACATATAATTGTGTAAACATTGTAAAATAATCAAATCAGGCTAATTAGCGTATCTATCACCTCAAATAATTATCATTTCTTTGTGGTAATACTATTTACAATCCTTGCTTTTAGCTATTTTAAAATATACAATACATTATTATTAACTATAGTCACCATGTTCTGCAATAAATCACCAGAACAGGAAGACCTGTCCAGCTGAAACTTTGTACCATTTAGCCAATGTCTCTCCTTTCTCTGCCTGTTCCACTCCCACCCAGCCTCTGGTAACCACTGTTCTATTATCTACTTCTTTGAGTTTGACATTTATAGATTTGACATATAAGTGATGTCATACACTATTTGTCTCACTATGCCTCGCTTATTTCACTTAGCATAATGTCCTCTAGGTTTATCCATGTTGCCACAAATGACAGACTTTCCTGCTTTTTAAAGGATGAATAGTACTCCATTTTGTATCTATACCACATTTTAAAAATCCATTTGTCCATCAATGGGCACTTCCATAGTTTCTATATCTTGGCTATTGTGAATAGAGCTGCAGTGAACATGGGAGTGAAGACATCTCTTCAACATACGAATTTCAATTCCTTTGGATATATGTGCAGAAGTGAGATTGCTTGGTTTTTTATTCATATCCATCTACTGTATTTTCAAAATTCTCTTGCTGGGTAACATTCTTATCTGTATCTACTTGAGGATCTTAAATATTCTTATTTTAAAGTCATATAGAGATTGTTCCATTGTTTACATTTTGCCATGTGTGAATTTATCTATTTATCTCCTTATACTTTGTTTTCTTAGTTTCATTCTTAACATTAAATTTCCTAATATGCTCTTAAATTTCGGTTTGTAGTTTCACCTTGAATAGAAAGTGTTTTTATTGTTTTGTGGTTTTGGTCTTTGGTCTCACTCTGCTCTAAGCAGTTTTCTAGATAAAGTTCCTCAGCCCAGAAGTAGAACCAGGTCCTAAATTAGCTCCAGCTTCAAGATGAACTGTGAATACAACGATCCATGCACTCAGGCAGCAAGAAGCTCTTTCCAGACCTGAATGTTCTGATTGACTTTTGCTGCTGCTTCTTGCTACAACTTATATTTTATGCAAGCTATAGCCGAAAACAGTAGTATCAGTTTATTCAGCCTTCGTTTCTTGAACAGAGAAGCACGCCTTAGCTCCTGGTGTAACATAATGAGTCCAGTTCAGGTCTCTCACCATGGTGTGAAAAGCTTTGGGTTCTCTATTGTCTGTCTTCATCTCCTTCTGCACATGCTACCTAGTGCATATGCTTCAACCCAACTGATAGCTCTGGGTTTCTATTCCATTTCTGGTCCACAGAAGTGTTCATATTGCCTTTTGCACAAATATATGTCATGTGCACACATATGTGCACACACACATACACACACACAGACAATTGCTTTGTTTGGAGAGGAGGAGAGTTTATAGTATAAGGTCACAATTCTTATTGTTTTTTCTTATGAGCCTCTATCAATAGTCAACAAACTACAGCCCAAGGACAAAATCTGACTTGTTGGCTGTTTTTGTAAGTAAAGGATTGTAGCAACACAGCCATATCCATTTTTACATATTGCATATGACTACTTCCATGTGACAAAGGCAGAATTGAGTATTAACTAAGACTTTGGACAAATCCCATTGCCTTTCTGAACCTCATAAAAATGAAAAGATTTCAACAGGTGATTTCACAAGGGATTTGATTGCATTTACCAGTTTCCATCATCCTCTTCTGTGGACTGGACTGTTGGGTTATTTTTTGAGTCATCTTTTTTTTTTTTTTTTTTTTTTTTGGAGACAGAGTCTCGCTCTATTCCCCAGGCTGGCTGGAGTGCAGTAGTGCCATCTCGGCTTACTGCAACCTCCACCTCCCAAGTTCAAGCAATTCTTATTCCTCAGCCTCCTGAGTAATCCTGGGATTACAGGCGCCTACCACCATGCCTGGCTAATTTTTGTATTTTTGGTAGAGACAAGGTTTCGCCAGGTTGGCCAGGCTGGTCTCAAACTCCTGATGTCAGGTAATCTGCCCGCCTCAGCCTCCCAAAGTGCTGGGATTACAGGCATGAGCCACCACACCCAGCCCAACTCATATGATTTTTTTAAGAGTCCATCATCAATTTTTTATTTAAATTTTTATGTATTTAGGAGGTGCAAGTGCAGATATCTTAAATGTGTATATTGCGTAGTAGAGAAGCCTTGGCTTTTAATATACCCATAACCCACATAGTAAGCATTGTATCCAATAGGTAATTTTTCAATCCTCAACTCGCTCCCACCTTCCCACCTTTTGTAGTCTCCAGGTGTCTATTACTCCATGCTGTATGCCTTTGTGTACACATTGTTTAGCTCCCACTTGTAAGTGTTAAGTTTCTAAGTTATTTCACTTAGGATAATGGCCTCCAACCCAAAAATGTCTTCATTATTTTCTATGGCTGAGTAATAAATATGAACATTTTCTTCATATAATCCTCCACTGATGGACACTTAGGTTGATTTGATATCTTTACTATCGAAAATAGTACTGTGATAGACATATAAGTGCAGGTATCTTTTTGATATAATTTCTTTCCCATTGAGTATATACCTAGTAGTGAGACTGTTGGATCGAATGGTACTTCTATTTTCAGCTCTTTGAGAAACCTCCATACTATTTTCCATAGAGATTGTACTAACTTACATTGCCACCAAGAGTACATAAGCATTCTCTTTTCTTCACATCCTTGCCAACATTTATTGGTTTTAGACTTTTTAATAACAGCCATTCTAACTGGTGTTTGATGGTATCTCATTGTGGTTTTAATTTGCATCTCTTTGATGATTAGTGATGCTGAACATTTTTTCATGTTTCTTGGCCACTTGTGTGTCCTCTTTTGAAAAATGTCTGTTTATTTCCTCTGCCCACTTTACAATGGTTTTTTTTCAGTGTTTGTTTTTTTGATGAGTTGTTTGAGTTCCTTGAAGATTCTAGATATTAGCCCTTTGTTAGATTCATAGTTTGCAAATACTTTTTCCCTATTCTGTAGGTTACCTGTTTGCAATGTTGATTGTTTCTTTTGCTGTGAAGAAGCTTTTTAGTTTAGTTAAGTCCTGTTTGTCTATTTTTGTTTTTGTTGCATTTGCTTCTGGGTACTTAGTCATAAATTCTTTACCTAGGCAATGTCTAGAATAGTTTTTCCTAGGTTTTCTTTTAGGATTTTTATATTTTTGGGTCTTATATTTAGGTATGTAATCCATCTTGACTTAATTTTTGTATGTGGTCAGAGGTATGGGTCCAGTTTCATTATTCTACATATGGCTATCCAACTTTCCCAGCACCATTTATTGAATAGTATGTCATATCACCACTGCTTATTTTTATTGACTTGTCAAAGATCAGTTTGTTGTAATTATATGTCTTTATTACTGGTTCTCTATTCTGTTCCATTGATCTATATGTCTATTTTTACACCAGTATTATGCTGCTTTGGTTACTATAGCCTTGTAGTAGAATTCGAAGTCAGGTAATGTAATGCCTCCAGCTTAGTTCTTTTTGTTCAGGATTGCTTTGGTTATTCAGGCTCTTTTTTTGGTTTCATACGAATTTCAGGATGTTTTTTCTAATTCTCTGAAAAAATGTCATTGGTAATTTGATAGGGATTGCATAGGATCTGTAGAATGCTTTGGACAGTAAGGTATTTTAATGATGGTGATTATTCCAATCCATGAGCATGGGGTGTTTTTTTCATTTGTTTATGTCATCTACAACTTCTTTCATCAGTGTTTTATAATTCTTCTTATAGAGATCTTTCACCTCCCTGGTTAAATCTATTCCTAGGTATTTCCTCTTTTTTTAGCTGTTATAAGTAGACTCACCTTCTTGATTTGGTTCTTAGCTAGATCATTGTTGTGTAGAAACACTGCTGATTTCTGTACATTAATTTTGGACAGAAACTACTGAATTTATTATCAAATCTAATAATTTTCTAGTAGAGTCTTTAGGGGTTTCTAGATATAATAACACAGAATCTGTAAACAGGGATAATTTGACTTCCTTTTCTCCTATTTGGATGTTTTTATTTCCTTTTCTTGCCTGATTGCTCTGGTGAGGACTTCCAGTACTGTGTTGGATAAGAGTGGTGAAAGTGGGCATCCTTGTCTTGTTCCAGTTCTTAGAGAGAATGCTTTCAACTTTTTACCATTGAGTATGATGTTGGGTATGGGTTTGTCATATATGGCCTTTATTATGTTGAGGTATGTTTCTTCTATGCCTAGTTTGTTGAGTACTTTTATCATAAAGGAATGCCAGATTTTATCAAATACTTTTTCTGCATATATTGAGATTATCATATATTTTTTGTCCTTAGTTCTGTTTATGTGATGTGTCCCATTAATTGATTTGCATATGTTGAACCATCCTTGTATCCCTGGGATAAATCCCACCTGATCATGGTGTAGTATGCTGTTGGATTCGAATTGCTAGTGTTATTTTGAGGATTTTTGTGCCTGTGTTCATCAGGGATATTGGTTTCTTGTTTTCTTTTTTGTTGTATCTTTGTCTGGTTTTGGTATCAGGGTGACATTGGCCTCACAGAATGAGTTACAAAGAGTTCCCCCCTCCTCATTTTTTAAAAATAGTTTCAGAAGGATTGGTATTAGTTCTTTGTATGTTTGATAGAATTCAGCTGTGAATCCATCTGAACTTGGGCTTTTTTGTTGTTGTTGGGAGACTTTTTTATTACTGATTCAATCTCGCTATTTATTGTTGATCTGTTCAGAAGTTTCTATTTCTTCCTGCTTCAATCTCAGGAGGTTGCATGTTTCCAGAATTTATCCATTTCCTTTACAGGTGACTTGATGCTTTTCTCTTAAAATTCGTTTTTTCACTTTGACATTAGATATTCTGAATACAACATGCTGTGGGGAACTACTTTTTATACTTGCCTGGGGATTGCTGAGCCTCCTGTATCTAGCTAACTCTCTGACAGGCTTGGGAAGTTTTCATCAATTATTTTTTGAAATAGAGTTTATAAACTTTTTTATCCCTTTTCCCCTTCAGGAGAACCAATAACTCGTAAGTTCAGTAACTTTATGTAGTCCCAGTGTCTCAAAGACTTTGTTCATTCTTTTTTATTCTTTTTTGCTTATTTTTGTCTGAATGGATTATTTCAGAAGACCAGTCTTCAGCTTCTGACATTCTTTCTTCTGCTTGGTCCAGTCTGTTATTGAAGCTTTTACACTTATTTTGTATTTCCTTCAATTAATCTTTTATTTCTAGAATTTCTGCTCAGTTTTTCTAAGATAACTATCTTAGCTTGGGTGAAACCCTATCTCTACAAAAAAATTTAAAAATTAGCCAGTTGTGGCTGGCATGCACATGTAGTCCTACCCACCCAGGAGGCTGAAGTGGGAGGATCACTTGAGCCCAGGTGTTCAAGGCTGCAGTGAGCCATGATTACACCTCTGCACTTTGGCCTGGGCAACAGAGAAAGACCGTGTCTTAAAAAAACAAACTATCTATCTTCTTGTAAATTTTTCATTCATATACTGAATTGATTTTTGATTTCTCTGTATTGGTTTTCAGATTTCTTTTTCATCTAATTAAGCTTCTTCGAAATCAATATTTTTAATTATTTATCTCGCATTTCAAGGAATTCTTGATTGGAAACTTGCTAGACAATTGTTGTGGTCCTTTGGTGGCATCATATTTCCCTGCTTTTTCATATTTCCTGTGTCTTTCCATTGACATCTGCACATCTAATGTAGCAGTTGTCTGTTCTAATTTTTTGAAATTGTTTTTGTAGGAAAAAATTTTTTCCTGAGTATGTATGTATTTTGTTGATTAAGATACTTTGGTTTTGGCTTTGGGTGCCAGCAGTAGTGTGATTTTTGTATAACTTCTTCAGCGGTACACAGGATCAGTGGTATCTGATTTTCTTAGTGACTTAAGGCATAGCTATTAGCTGAGGTTGTGGTGAAGTTTATCTGGGGACTTGGATGGCACATGAGCCAGTCTTTGGGCTCCAGTGGTGGCAGCAGCGGGGTGAGTGTGCCTGTTTTAGGCCCCAGAGCAGTTGACACTGGCACCATGTTACTGGATTCTAGAGGGCTTCTTCTTAGCCTCCAGGTGGCTTGCTTGGAAGCTAATAGTGGGAGCAGTGGGCCAGTTATGTGGGTGTGTTCTCAGACCTCTGGGCAGTTGGTGTGGTGTGGGTGATGAAAGTAGCAGTAGAAAAGCAACCACCGGGACCCAAGCAGTCTGTGTTGGTATTGCTGGAAGCTGCAACAGGCTGAGAAGCCTAGTCCGTAATCCCACAGCCACCCATAGCAGGGCAGTGGGTATTGTCCTAAGTGTGCTCAGGAGAGATTGCTCTCCCATGTTCTTCCCCTAGATGGGTGGCAGGTGCAGCCACGTCAACTCGAACTTTGCCCAAGGGCAGGGGGAAGCCTAGCATTAAACTCTCAAAATGGTACCTTCGTCTTGCAACCAGTGAGGGCAGTGAGGCCCCTCCCAAGCAGGTAGCATGGGCAAGAAGCTGTGGGGAGTGTGGTCCACTTGTGTCTCAGTCTTATGCCACTCATTCCAGAACAGTGGTATTATTCTAGATATATGTAGGAGAGCCTAGTTTCCCTGATCCTCCTTAGCAGCAGCTGCAGCCATGGCGGCCTGAACTTAGCCTGAGGGCAGGACACAACCCAGCATTAGACTCGAAATGGTGCTTTGGGCCTGCGTCCAGGGTCCAGGGAGGGTGGGGCACCTCCCAGGCAAGCAGTGTAGGCAAGATACCAAGGGGAGTGCAAGTGTAGTCTACTCACATCTCAGTCTCAACAGCAGCCTGCGGCAGGGCAGTAGGGACCCTCCCAGGGGGTGCACGGGAGTACCCAGCCTCTCCCTCTGTCTCCTAGAATCAGTGCAGCAGCAGCAGCCATGTCTGTAGATCCGTAGTAGCTAGACTCTCAGAATGGTGCCCAGCTGAGGCTGCTCTTGGCTTGGAGGCATGTGGGGTACCCTTTCTGGAGCAATGTCTCTGAGCAGTCTTTAGGCATCTCTGTGTGTCAGGCCTGAGGCCCTAGTGGGTTGAGGGATTCTCTTGTAGCCAAGATTGTAAAAACCCATTTCGGAGCCCTGAGGTTTTCCCACACCCGCGAGCCTCTCCTGGCTCTCAGCCCCCTGCCAGCAAGCTGTCGCAAACTCTCTCCTTACTTACTTCTGGTGCTTCCCATGTCTTCTCTGGTGAATTCTCTCCTCGATGATCTGTTTGGAGTATCTGCTTACTATTCTGGTTCCTCTCCATGGAGGGCGCATGTACTCCTTGCCTCTAATCAGCCTCTTTGATCCCTCTCCCCTCCCATTGTCTGTTGTGCTCACTCTATGTTATGTTTTTTTTAGTTTATATTTTTGCATACCTGTTTAGAGACCAATTTATTTACCTGTTTATATTTGTATGTTTTTATTTACCTGTTGAGTGATTTTGGTAGTTTGGGGCTTTGTGTGTTTTGGGGCAGTTGGATTTGGTGGTGTCACTCCACATGTCATCATCTTCCAGGACGCCCTCTGAGGTCTGCCCCAGATTTGACCCATCTTACATGAACACACTATGTATGACCAGTATAAAATTTGTATTCATTATGTTCCCACCAATGAGAATCTACTGTACATAATTATGTATTGTTAAAATTAAGAAAATATGGAATAGAAGTAGATTGATTGTCCTGGAAGAGTTGTCCAGGAAAGCTTGAAATTTTGCTTTCTTTTTCTTTAATGATAATAAGCACAAGAAGCAAATAAGTAATAAATAAGTATAATTAAGCAATATCAAACACTCTTTAAAAATTGGTCTTTGCAGCATCCACATAATTGATGAGTTGAATTGTGAAGCTTTGGTAGGCTTCACAATTCCAAAAAGTTTCCATTTTGTTCTGGATAATTCAATACCTTTGTTCAATCTTTCCTCAATATAAAATGTTATCTTAAAAGATATAAAAAAGGATTGTAGAGTAGCCTGGGGTTTGGGGAATGTAGAAGCAAAATGAAAGAGCAGCTGAGCTTTTCCCATTGGTGAGGACAGAAGTGTGTTCAGGCTGCTTGTGTTTCTCCAACTTCAGGGATTTTGTAATATCACCCTCTTTTCTATTCAGTGCTTCTCCAGTTCTCCCTCCATCCAAGACACTGCTGCAGAAGTTAATAAATGAGTGGGCAACAAAAAATGAAGTGCAAGTATTTATCAGACATTACCGAATACATACATTATTGAAATAAAAAGCATGAGAAATTATATTAGCAAATGAATTTGCAGTTTAGGGACCTCTAATTAAGAGTACAATACATTTGGATTCTCTCTCTTTTAAAACTTATTCTCCATGTATTCCTAAATATGACCCATCTTCTCTGACAGCTAAATGTATTGCTGATGTCTTATTAAAGGGAACTCTGTAGCTTCTTCTTCCCTATAGCTCAGGTAGACAGCCTGAGGTTTGAAGTTCTGCATAGAGCCAGCATAGCTGTTAGTGGCAAAATGACCCCCAGAGTAAACAAAGAAACATGACCAGTTACCCTCAGAGGGGATTACTTGTCTCACTTGTAAACCAAGTATCAGGAGAAGTAAGCCAGTAAGTGTGAAGTCAACCTCACCAGGGAGTATGGCATGGAATCTTTTCCATAACTTAGGCTAGACATTCTGCTATGTTATGCCTGTTGATGTTTCCTTATCTTTATGAGAAAAGGAAACATGCCAGCCTTCTAGTAAAGGCCTTTGGATTAAATTCTCTGAAGGAAACTGGCCTCACCTAATAAACTCACCAGAACATAAAAGGACATGGAAAAAAAAAATAAAACTAATGTGCTAATCAGTTCAATAAATGCTTGAAGCTGGCCTTAAATCAAATAAAAGACAGGAAAAGATGCCTTATTTCAGAGCTTTGAGACACAGAATGATGAGAAAAATTTCTCTTGTATTTGAATCACTGAGGGGAAAACAGTAGTCGATTCAGGAGAAGTCAAGAAATATCAGTGCAGTTTCTAAATAGTAGTAGTATTTTCCTTTCTATCTTCTGCCAAAGTTGCTGGAAGCTCTCATATGGCAAGGGGCTTGGTACCTTTGCCTTCTTTCTTATTAGCTGCATGATCAATGTGAAGCCTGACTCCTGAGTATTGGCAATTCTCCCCGCTATTCCTCCAGTTCACTGTATCCAGCCCTGGAAAAATTAGAAAGTAGGTGAAGGTTTTCTTTTTCAAACACCTATTAGCCTCAAATTCTGTTTGACCATCTGATCAGTGGAAAAGCCATGTAGATCATAAAATCACTTAATACCACTGTGCTAGTCATGTAATGCATGCAACTGTCTAGAAATGTGGCATTTTCAAAGGAAGCAGGGAAAACTTACATAAATACAGACATTTCAAAAGGTGAAATTCTAGCCACAGTGAGCTCTGCATGGAATACAAATGCTTTGGGGTCAGTGCCAGTCTTGACATCTGTGATGGTTAATTTTATTTCAATTCACCTGAGTCACAGGGTGCCAGGCATTTGGCTAAACATCATTTCCAGGTATGTCTATGAGGGTGTTTCTGGATAGAATTAGCATTTGAATTGCTGGATTCAGTAAAGAAGACTGCCCTCCCCAATATGAGTAGGCATCATCAATCCACTGAGGGCCTGAATAAAACAAAAAGCAAAGGAAGGGAAAAATTTTCTCTTGTCCACCTGCTTGAGCTGGATCATCAGTCTTCTCCTGCCTTTGGACTAGGATTTATACCATCAACTTCTCTGGTTTTCAAGCCTTCAGATTCAGGCTGGAACTTTAACATTGACTCTCCTACTTCTCAGGCTTTCTGATTCAGGCTAAACCACACCACCAGCTTTCATGGGTTTCCAACTGTAGACAGCAGATTGTAGAACATCACCTTCATAATTGCATAACTGCATGAGCCAATTCTTTATAATAATGAATAGAATCTTCTTCTTTTTCTTCTTCTTCTCTCTCTATATATTTAAATTATATTAATTTATATAATATTAAATATATAATTTATATATTTAAATAGATAAATTTGTATAAATATATCTAAATATATTCATATATACTTGTTTATATAAATGTATTATTTTATATAAAATATGTACTTGTTTATTATATATAAATATATACTTGTTTATATAAATATATATGGAATTCATGTTAATTTTGTTAGATATGATCATTTTATTGTCTATATATGGAAGAATATCCTGATTTTGTTGGTGATGCATACTCAATCATTGAAAGGTTGTACTTGTTCCCAGGTCTGCCATAACAAATCACTACAAACTTGGTGGCTTAAAATAACAGAAATTTATTATCTCAAAGTTCCAGAAACCAGAATTTTGACTGAAGTGATGTTGGCAGGACTGTGCTCCCTCTGATGGCTCTAGGGGAGAATCTATCTTTGCTTTTTCCAGCTTGTGTTAGCTCCTGGCATTCCTTGGCTTGCCGCTGCCAAGGAACTTGCATGTCAAATCTCCCTCTGGCTTTCTCTTACAAGGATGCTTATCCTTGGATTTAGGGCCCACTGGGATAAGGGCCCACCAGGATGATCTCCTCATCTAAAGATTCTTAAGTTAATTACATTTGCAAAGACCCCTTTTCCAAATAAGGTAACATTCCATCTTTTAACATATAAGGTAATATTGATAGGTTCTGAAGATTAGGGCATGGCTATATGTTTTTGGAACCACCATTCTATCTACTAAAGGGATGACATATAAGAAGATCTAAAATTTACTTTTACGTGACTCAATAAAAATAAATATGGATGAAATAAATAAGACAAAAAGTTAATGGTTGATAAATCTAGGTGGTAGATATATGGGAGTACATTGTATTAGTCTAAAATTTTGTGCTTAGGATTTTCATACCAAGCCAAGTTTAAGTTCCTCATTTTGTCAAGAGAGTCTCATTTAGGGAGCTCTTTTAGTGTAGTGGGTCAAGTGGGTCGGAGCATGGGCTCTGGGGACAGAATGCCTGAGTTTGCATCCCACCAGGCTTGACTTTGAATAGCTGTGGGATCTCAGGTCAGTTACTTATTTTTTTCCTCTACAAAATGGGGATAATAATAATAATACTAAATTCAGACAATTGTTATGAGAATGAAATGAAATAATGCTCATTAAGTGCTTGGCACATTGAAAGGACCTGATAAATATTAGCCACATTAATAATTATGCTGAGTCTTTCAGGATGTCCCCTTCCAACATTCCACTATTAGCTAGGAAAGACTCTCTTAGAAAGGGGGCACAGGGGATTCCCAGTTTGTGCATGTGTTTGGGAGTAGGGAGCAGGAAGGGATATAAGGTGTAAGGTATTTACATAGGTCACATGAGCACAGGACAAACCTGGGGCTGCAATGGGGTGATAGGGAGATTCTAAAAGCAAGGGGAAATCCTTGTAGACTTTTAGCCAATCTTCTACTAGCTATTGCTCAGCCCATTTCTTAGCCATAATGCTGATAGAATTAATGCAAATTCTAAAAATACCTATCATATCTAGAAAGCTGTTTCAATGCTAAGTGACTGACTCTACCTAAGTGAAAACGTTATTTATCAGGACTCTATGTTGCTTGAAAAACAACTCCCCCTGCTCATAAGGAGGTTGCTGCTTTTGGAGTGTTAAAGGAGGCTCAGGTGTGATTTTGCCATTAGGGAATCCCATTGTTCCAACAGGGAGCTGAGCCAGCCTGCTCAGGTGAGTACTGTGGCTACTGCCTCCTTCTCCTCCCACACCTCAGGGTGCCAGCGCATCTACAAGCAATTCACACTTTATATTTAGGGTGTCATTTCATTTTTACATTAAGTGCATGAAGGCTTTCACTTGCCTCACATCTCACTTAGCATCATATTTCCCCTCAACCTGTTATAGTCACCAAACATGTGCAAGACCAGGAACAAAATAAATGAAAGAACTACAACAAAAACTTAAAGATAAAGTTAACAAGAGCAAAAGGGATGAAATGACATCCCTGCAGGGACATGTGGCTTCCTCAAAAGTCCAGATGCTCTTTTGAAACAAATCTTTGGAATTACTCCCTAGTGTTGTCACTGCTCCCCACTGCATGAATTAAAATCATAAGCAAAATAATAAGTCTCAAAGTTTAGGATCTAAGCTACAAGGCTGAAACCCCTTGTGGAAGCAGTGCTACTAAAACTTTAATGTAACAAAGTCATCTGCATATATGATAAATCTGAGATCAGTTGTTCTAACAAGCTTCCAGGTTATAACAATGCTGCTGAACCACAGACCATACTTTGATTTGCAGGAGTGTAGAACAGCAGTTCTTAAATTTGGCTACACTTTGGGTTTACACGTGGTGTGTAAAATAAAACTGATGCCACAGAGGTTCTTATTTGCCTTTAAGTGTGACCTGGTCATCATAATTTTTTTAACTTTTAATTTTAATTTTTATGGGTACATAATATGTGTATATGTTTATGGAGTACATGAGATGTTTTGATATAGGCATAAAATGTGTAATAATCACATGATGTAAAATGGGGTATCCATCCCCTCAAGCATTTATCCTTTGTGTTGCAAACAATCCAATTATACTCTTTCAGTTATTTTAAAATGTATGATTAAATTATTTTTGCCTATAGTCACCCTGTTATGTTATCAAATAATAGGTCTTATTCATTCTTTCTTTTTGTTGTTTTTGTACACATTAACCATCCCACCTCCCCTTCCAAACCCCCATTGACCTTCTCAGCCTCTGGTAACCATCCTTCTACTCTATACGTCCATAAGTGCAATTGCTTTGATTTTTAGATCCCACAAATAAATGAGAATATGAAAAGTTTGTTTTTTTGTGCTTGTTTTATTTCACTTAACATAATGACCTCCAGTTCCATCTATGTTGTTGCAAATGACAGAATCTCATTCTTTTTATGGCTGAATAGTAGTATTACATCGTATGTAAGTACTACATTTTCTTTATTGATTCATCTGTTAATGAACACTTAGGTTGCTTTTGCCATATATGGCTTTTATTATGTTAAGGTATGTTCCTTCTGTATCCAGTTTTTTGAATATTTTTTATAATGAAGGGATGTTGAAATGATCATATGGGTTTTTTAATCCTTTATTCTGTTGATATGATGTATCACATTGATTGGTTTGCATATGTTGAACCATCCTTGAATACTAAGGATAAATTCTACTCAGTCATGATGAATGATCTTTCCAATGTTTTGTTGAATTCAATTTGCTAGTATTTTGTTGAGGGTTTTTGCATCAATATTCATCAGAGATATTGGCCTGTAGTTAGTTTTCTTTTATTGATGTATCTGTCTGATTTTGGTATCAGAGTAATACTGACCTCAGAATGAGTTTGGAAGTATTCCCTTCTCTTCTATTTTTCATAATAGTTTGAGTAGAATTGGTATTAGTTCTTCTTTAAATGTTTGATAGAATTCAGCAGTGAAGCCATTAGGTCCTGGGCTTTTCTTTACTGACAGAGTTTTTATTACAGCTTTGAATTCATTACTTGTTATTGGTCTATTCCAGTTTTGGATTTCTTCATGGTTCAATCTTGGTAGGTTTTATGCATCTAGGAATTTAACCATTTCTTCTAGGTTTTCAACTTTATTGGCATCTAATGATCCTGTGAATTTCTGCAGTATCAGTTGTAATGTCTCCTCTTCATCTGCAATTTTATTTGTTTGGATCTTCTCTTTTTTCTCAGTTATTTTGGCAGAAGTTTTGTCACTTTGTTTAACTTTTCAAAAAACCATCTTTGTTTCATTGATCTTTTGTATTGTTTCCTTCTTTTTTATTTCATTTATTTCTGCTCTGATCTTTATTATTCCTTTTCTTCTACTAATTTAGGGCTTGGTTTGCTTTTGCTTTTCAAATTCTTTAATTTAATTTAATTCATTAGGTTGTTTATTTGAAGTTTTTCTTCTTCTTTGATGCCAGCACGTATAGCTGTAATCTTCTCTCTTGGTACTGCTTTTGCTGTATCTCATAGGTTTTGGTATTTTGTGTTTCCTTTATCATTTGTTTCAAGAAGATTTTCAATTTCCTTCTTATAATTTCTTTATTGACCCACTGGTCATTCAGGAGCATGTTGTTTAGTTTCCACGTACTCGTATGGTTTCCAAAATTTCTGTTGTTATTGATTTTCAGTTTTATTCCATTGTGGTCAGAGAAGATGCTTGATATGATTTCAACTTTTTAAAACATTTTAAGACTTGTTTTGTGACCTAACATATGGCCTATCCTTGAGAATGATCCATGTGCTGAGGAAAACAATGTTTATTCTGCAGCCACTGGATGAAATGTTCGTAAATATCTATTAGGTCCATTTGGTCTATAGTAAAAATTAAGTCCAATGTTTCTTTGTCGATTTTCTGTCTGGAAGATCTGTCCAATGCTGAAAATGGAGTGTTGAAGTCTCTTAACTATGATTGTATTGGAGCCTATCTTTCTCTTTAGCTCTAATAATATTTGCTTTATATCTCTGAGTGCTCCGGTGTTGGGTGCATATATATTTAAAATGTTATATCCTCTTGCTAAATTGACCCCTTTATCATTATACAGCGACCTTCTTTGTCTCTTCCTATAGTTTTTGTCTTGAAATCTATTTTGTCTGATATAACTATTCTTACTCTTTTTTTGTTTCCATTTGCATGGAATATCTTTTTTCTTCCCTTTATTTTCAGTCTATGTGTGTCTTTATAGTTATCTTTATTTGTGTTTCTTGTAGGTGACAGATCAATGGATCTTTTCATTGGGTACATTTAGTCAATTTACATTCAATGTAATTATTGATAAAGAAGTACTTACTCCTGCCATTTTGTTATTTGTTTTCTGGTTGTTTTGTGGCCTTCTCTTCCTTTTTAATTTTCCTCCTGTCTTTCTTTTAGTGAAAGTTTTTTCCTCTGGTGATATAATTTAGTTTCTTGCTTTTTATTTTTTTGTAGCCATCGTATGTTATTATGTATGTTACCGTGAGGCTTGCAAATAGTATTTTATAACCCATTATTTTAAACTGATGACAACTGAATACTCATTGCATAAACAAGCAAAGAGAAAATGAATAAAAGCTCTACACTTTAACTTTATCCTCCCACTTTTTAACTGTTTGTTGTTTGTATTTATATCTTACTATACTGCCTATGTCTTAAAAAGTTCTAGTTATTCCTTTCAATTGTTTCATCTTTTCATCTTTCTACTTAAGGCATGAGTAGTTTACACACCATAATTACAGTGTTACAATATTCTTTGTTTTTCTTTGTGCTTACTATTACCAGTGAGTTTTGTAGCTTCCGATGATTTTATATTGCTCATTAATGTTCTTTTCTTTCTGACTGAAGTACTCCCTTTAGCATTTGTAGTAGGATAGGTGTGGTGTTGATGAAATCTCTCCACTTTTGTTTGTCTGGGGAAGTCTTTAGTTTTCCTTCACGTTTGAAGAATATTTTCACCAGATACACTAATCTAGGTTAGTTTTCTTTTTCTTTTAGCACTTAATTACGTCATGCCCCTCTCTTCTGGCCTATAAGGTTTGCACTGAAAAGTCTGCTGCCAGACATATGGGAGCTCCATTGTATGTTGTTTGTTTCTTTTCTCTTGCTGCTATTAGGGTCCTTTCTTTATCCTTGACCTTTGGGAGTTTGATTATTAAATGCCTTGAGGCAGTCTTTTGAGTTAAATCTGCTTGGTGTTCTATAACCTTCTTGTATTTGATATGGGTATCTTTCTCTAGGTTTGGGAAGTTCCCTGTTATTATCCCTTTGAATAAACTTTCTACCCGTCTTTTTCTCTACCTTCTCTTTAAGGCCAACAACTCTTAGATTTGCCCTTTTGCAGCTATTTTCTAGATCCCGCAGGTATGCTTCATTGCTTTTTTATTCTTTTTTGTGGTTGTTTCCTCTAACTTTGTATTTTCAAATACTCTATCTTCAAGCTCACTAATTCCTCTTCTGCTTGATCAATTCTCCTATTAAAAGACTCTGATGAATTCTTCAGTATGCCAAATTCCAGAATTTCTGCTTTATTCATTTTAGTTATTTCAATCTCTACTAAATTTGTCTGATAGAATTCTGAATTCCTTCTTTGTGTTATCTTGATTTTTCTTTGAGTCTCCTCAAAACAGCTATTTTGAATTCTCTGTCTGAAAGGTCACATATCCGTTTCTCCAGGATTGGTCCCTAGTGCCTTATTTAGTTCATTTGGTGAGGTCATGCTTTCCTGGATGGTCATGACACTTGTAGATATTTGTCTGTGTTTGGGCATTGAAGAGTTAGGTATTCATTGTAGTCTTCTCAGTCTGGGCTTGTTTGTACCCATCCTCCTTGGGAAGGCTTTCCATATATTCAGAAGGACTTGGGAGTTGTGATCTAAGCTGTATGTGCTTTAGGGGCCACCCCATGCCCAATAATGCAGTGGTTCCTCCAGACTCATAGAGGTACTGCCTTGATGGTCTTGGATAAGATTTAGAAGAATTCTGTGGATTACCAGACTGAGACTCTTGTTCTCTTTCCTTACTTTCTCCCAAACAGAGCCTCTCTCTCTGTTCTGAGCCACCTGGAGCTGGCAGTGGAGTGACCCAAGCACCCTTGTGGCCACCACCACTAGCACTGTGCTGGATCAGACCCAAAGTCACCACAGCATTGGGTGTTGCCCAAGGCTTACCATAACCAGTCCTTGGCTGCAGCTTATGTTCGCTTAAGGCCCTAGGGCTCTACACTTAGCAGGTGGTAAAGCCAGCCAGGCCTGTGTTCTTCCTTTCAGGTGGTGAGTTCCTCCACTCCCCACGCAGGTCCAGAAGTGCCATCTGGGAGCTAAGAACTAAAAGCAAAAACCTTAGAATTCTACGTGGTATTCTAGTGTGCTGCGGCTGAGCTGGCACTCAAGCCACAAGGCACAGTCCTTCCCACTCTTCCCACCCCTTTCCAAACAGAGAGGAGCCTCACCCTGTGGCCACACTACCATAGGCTCATGAGGAGTACTGCCAGACTACCTCTGATGTTCCTTGAGGGCCTAACAGCTCTTCAGTCAGCTTGTGGTGAATGCTGCCTGGTTTGGGACTCACTTTTCAGGGGAACAGGCTCCCCTCTGGCCCAGGGCAGGTCCAGAAATGCCATCCAAGAGCCAACTCCTGGAATTGGGGACCCTGAGAGTCCTCTTGGTGCTCTATCCCCCTGTAGCCAAGGTGGCACCTAAGGTGCAAGACAAAGTCCCCTTTACTTTTCCATCCTCTGTTCTTCACGTGAAAGGCATCTTGCCACCTAGCCACCAGATTTGGGAATAGGCTGAGTCTCACCTGAAGGCAGCAAGTCTCAGAGGCTCACCCAAGGCCCTTGCCATGATACCTGGCTATTACTGCTGGTTATTCAGGACCCAAGGACTCTTTAGTTAGGAGATAATTAATCCTGCCAGGAGTAGGTCCTTCCTTTCGAGGCAGTGGGTTCTCTTCTGGTCTCAGGTATGTATAGAAATGTTGTCCAGGAGCTACAGCCTGGAAAGGGGACCTCATGACTCTGACTGATGTCCTATCCTGCTGTGGCTGAGCTTATCCAAGATGCAAAACAAAGTTTTCCACATTATTCCATCTCCTCTCCTCAAGTGGAGGGAAAGGGTCTCTTTTGGAGCCACAAGCTGTGCAGCCTGGGGTTAGGGGAATGGTGATGCCAGCACTCCCTTAGCTTCCCCTGACTGATGTGTCATTAGGTCACATGCCCCGCTTAGCCCACTATCACTGTCTCTGGGCCCAGTTCAGCATTAGGGCTTGCCTAGGAGTTGTAGTCCCAGTGGCCTAGACTGCCACTGTAGCCCATGGTGGCAAGGCTTGCGGGGAACTCAAGTTTAGACTGCTGGGGGTCAGTGATTCCCCTCTGTTTAGGGCTGGATTAAATGCTCCCTCCATGGGTGAGCATCAGTTAAGTTTCATCCAGTTTTTTTCTTTTATAATAGGACAGCACTGAGCTCAGTGCCTCATAATTACTGCACTCTCTCTCTCCCCAGTGCACAGAAAAGCTCTCTGCACCATGCCACTGCTGTCACAGGATGAGGGAGGGGTGGTGTCGGTGATTCAAGACTGTTTTACCACCTCTTCAGTGCCTCTTTCAGTGATATAAAGTTAAAACCGGAGCCTAAGACCTAAAATCATAAAAACCCTAGAAGAAAACCTGGGCAATACCTTTCAGGACATAGGCATGGGCAAAGACTCCATGAATAAAACACCAAAAGCAATGGCAACAAAAGCCAAAATTGACAAATGGGATCTAATTAAACTAAAGAGCTTCTGCACAGCAAAAGAAACTATCATCAGAGTGAACAGGCAACCTACAGAATGGGAGAAAATTTTTGCAATGTATCCATCTGACAAAGGGCTAATATCCAGAATCTACAAAGAACTTAAACAAATTTACAAGAAAAAAACAAACAATGCCATCAAAAGTGGGTGAATGAAATGAACAGACACTTCTCAAAAGAAGACATTTATACAGCCAACGGACATATGAAAAAATGCTCATCATCACTGGTCATAACAGAAATGCAAATCAAAACCACAAGGAAATACCATCTCATGCCAGTTAGAATGGTGATCATTAAAAAGTCAGGAAACAACAGATGCTGGAGGGGATGTGGAGAAATAGGAACGCTTTTACACTGTTGGTGGGAGTGTAAATTAGTTCAACCATTGTGGAAGACAGTGTGGCAATTCCTCAAGGATCTAGAACCAGAAATACCATTTGACCCAGCAATCCCATTACTGGGTATATTCCCAAAGGATTGTAAGTCATTCTACTATAAAGACACATGCACACATATGTTTATTGTGGCACTGGTCACAATAGCAAAGACTTGGAACCAAGCAAAATACCCATCAGTGATAGCCTGGATAAAGAAAATGTGGCACATATACACCATGGAATACTATGTAGCCATAAAAAGAATGAGTTCATGTCCTTTGCAGGGACATGGATGAAGCTGGAAACCATCATTCTCAGCAAACTAACACAAGAACAGAAAAGCAAACACTGCATGTTCCCACTCATAAGTGGGAGCTGAACAATGAGAACGCATGGATACAGGGAGGGGAACATCACACACTGGGGCCTGTCAGGGGGTGGCGGACTAGGGGAGGGATAGCATTAGGAGAAATACCTAATGCAGATGACAGGTTGATGGGTGCAGCAAATCACCATGGCACGTGTATACCTATGTAACGAACCTGCACATTCTGCACATGTATCCCAGAATATAAAGTATAATAATAATTTTAAAAAAACAGGTACTGTGAATGCTCACCTGATTTTTTGTTCTTATGAAGGTGGTTTTTTTTTGTTGTTTTTTGTTTTTTTTTTTTTTTTGGCAGACAGTTGTTAGATTAGTGTGTTTGCAGGGGTTGGGGGACAATCGGTGGAGACTTCTATTCTGCCTTCTTGCTCTGCCCCTTACCAATCCTGTACCTTGAATTTTTAAATGCACCCTGATATTTCTAATTGCCCCTTAATTTCTAAGCAAAGTTTGACAATAACTGGTGTAGAGTTTTTTTAATTTTCTTGAATTCTTGGAGGGCCAGACACAAAGTGCTTGGTTCAATGCTGAGTGACTCTACTGGCTGAATGTTGCTTTTCAATAATAAAATTGCCTGGGACCCACTCCTGGTAGTTCAGATTCAATTAGTTTAGGGAAGGGCCCAAACATCAGAATATTTCAAACCTCAGCTAATTGTCATATGCATCCAGGTTAGGACTCATTATTTAAGATATTGCAAGAAGGAATTGGAAAAACACCTTTAATTGTCATAGGAAAAATAGACATAGCTTACAGGGAGAAAATATGATGGTTCTAAATATATATATATATAGGGTAGCAACTGCTTGCCTTGGTATTTTGTAATAACAAATCTAACATTTTGGTAAATGATGGTGGGAACTGAAATAGCATTAAACACGGGGTTGGATTACCACATCCACATTTAAACCTTCTTTTAATCTACTTATTTTCAGAGTTTAAAAATAGCACAATGTTTTGAACATAGTGGATACACAGTCAATATTTAATGTCCTATCAGATAAAGGCAATATTATAACATTCCTGGGATAATTTCCATACTGAAGTAATAAATGAGGATGTATTATAATATAAAGCATTATATATTATGCAACCAGAAACACTTATATTGCACTTTTAAACTAGGAGAGAAAGTTATGTCATTCTTAATATAGTAATCTATCTAAAACCAGCATTTAACAACATAGTTAATAGGGAGACTAGAGGCATTTATATAAAAGTCATTATGAGGCAAGAATACTCATCATTATTGAATATTGTTATGGTAGTTCTACTGAATGCAACCAGACTAGGGAGGAAAAGGAGTAAAGGGCTTAACTCTTGGGAAGGGAAAAAAGATTGTTATTTGCAGATGATATAATAGACTGCCTAGAAAATTAAAGAAAATTAGTTGAAGATCTGCTAAAACCAATGAAAAAGTCCACTGTGAATATTACATAGAAAATAAATATGGACGAGTATTAATTTTCCTATATATCAGGAGGTGCAAACTCAAATGTCTTTAAAAGATAGGTAGGTAACCTAAATGCATGATCTCTCCTTGTGTGAGCAATATGCTGTTCACAATAGCAAGAAAAATATAAACTAGCTGACTTAACAAGAAACACACAGAGTCTTTATGCTGAACCTATGAAAATTGAGCAAATAAAGAAATATATAGTGTGTTTTTAGATCACTTGGAGAACAAACAGGCGATACTAGCCAGGAATGTTTAGAATAATGAGTGTAAGAAGGGAGAACTTTGGCTATCCCTATCAAATATTAAAATGTATGTGATAACTATGGCAATTGAGATGGAGTCTTCTATTTCTGTTTTACTTGTTTACTTGTTTGATGAAAGAATAGGTAGATCATTAGAACAGAAAATAAGAAACAAAAACATAGGCAAGTGTAGATAAAATTCTAGCCTATGTCACATTCATTCATTTATTTAAAAATAATGCTCTAAGCACTATTCTAGTCACTGAGGATACAACAGTGAATATGGTAGACAAGAGTCTGTTTCTCTTTGTATTCTGATTGGAGAGACAGACAATGCTCTTTTTCTCTCTCTCATATACATGCATATATATATTATATATAAGATATGTATATAATATATATAATACATAAGAAAAATAAAGATAATTCATGTAGGGTGGTATAATTTTGACTTGAGGAGGTGACATTTAATCTGATAAGTGAATGGCTAGAAGAAGTGAGCCATGCAAATGCAGGGGAAAGAACCTTTCAAAGAAAGTATCAGGCTTGGTGTAGTCAAGAAACGGAAAGAAGTATGGTGGAGAAGAGTAGGCAAGGGGGCGAGAATATGTGAGGTTGACAGGAGTTAGATTTTGTAGGACTTTGTACCCAAGATAAAGAACTTGGATTTTATTTTTTAAGTATAATAAAGAAATAATGGAAGGTTTTAAAGCAGAGGAGTGACAGTCTGACTTGTCATTTATAAACATCACTCTGGTTTCTATTTGTAGAATGAACTACAAAGAGCCAGTATGGAAATGGCCAACCCAGACAGGAGCCTATCAGAGTAGTCTGGGAAAGATGAAAGTGACCAGGATAAAGTAGGGGTAGTGAAGTTGGAAGGAAGTGAATTAATTTGGGATATGTTTTGGAGGAAAAGTCAAAAAGATTGAATTGGGACACTGAAGAAAATAAAGGAATCACGATAATTCCTAGTTATGGTCTAAAAGAACTGGGTGCATGATACTAAGAAGACTAGAGAAAGACCAGGATGGGGGTGGGTGTGGGGAATCAAAAGTTTCAAATATAGTAAGTTTTAGATGTCTATCAGAGATTTGAGGAAGTAACAAGCAGGCAGTAACCTATAGAAATCTGGTGTCCTGGCAAGTTGGGCTTGAGATATCCATGTTGGGCAATAATCGATGATTATATTTAAAGCCAAGGCACAAATGAGCATGTTAGGGAGGCAAAGGAGTCCTAAAAATGTGCCCGCATGCTGGCATTTGGAGGACACACAGAAAAGGAGCAAGGCAGCAGGGGAAACAGGAAAAAGATAGCTGGGGTGGCTGGAGAAAAACCAGACAGGTATTGAAGCAGACAGAAGGAAGTAGTTCAGGGAAGGGGTAGTCAATTGTGCTAAATCCTGTGGATAGTTGAAGCAATATACAAACAAAATAGAGAGCACTACCTAGCTTGAAAAGAGCAATCTTGGTGAAGCTGATGGGTATGCAATACCTTTTAGAATGAGAGGCAAGGAGGTGGAGATAGCTACTTTTGACAACCTTTTTAGTGTCACTGAAGTGACATTTCAACCAATATTGTAATAGAAAAAAAATTACTTCAATTTGCTAAAATCAGTTCAAACCAGCAGGGAGAATGATCATTTTATAAATGACCTTGGTATAATTTATTAGTTATTGGAAAAATTAAATAATTGATTAAAATTTTAGGAAAAAAAGAAAGTAATACTTCAAAAAGATAAGAAATCTGTCTCTAACTGGTAGTATAATGTGTATTTTCATTTTGTAGTTATACATTTTTCTAATTTTTCCATAATATACTCTTGTTTAATTAAAAGAATCAATGTCTTTTTTAAGAAAACCAAACAATTTTAGCAAACCTCTAGGCTCAAAACCAAATTAAATCAATTCAGTGCAACAGACTATTGGCTTTGCATCAGGTTCCTACCATCTGGAAAGGTGTGCAATATAAGAATGTCAAGGAAGATATATAACACAAGGTGAAGCAAGGTGAGTCTTCCAATCAGAGCACAAGGCACCTATGAGAAGTCAAAAGAAGGGCTTATAACTCCTGGTTCCTGGTCAGAGTTTCAGAGTAAAACTCTGAAAAAAAGAAAATAACTTGAAAAGGGAAGGTCATGGTGACTGGGTCATCATGAGCAACGTTACTAGAGTGGTAAGGCAGAATCTGTACCTTCTTAAGTCACTCTGTGGGAGAAATCCACAGGACATGGTGAGCAACCCATGGTTACCACCAAGAGCTCTTCAGTGAAGTTAGAAATGGAGAAAAATCCAAGAAGCTCCCCTTCCTTTTCCCTCAGGAATGCCTACTCATCAATTAAATAAAGAATAGCTAAGTAACATGTATAACCAGGATCTCTAAAGTGTGTGTGTCTGCATGTGAATGTCTCAATCACCACAGGAAATTATAATCAGCTGTTCACAGCCCTGAATTCTTTCTGGGTCTTGTGTCCAGTGCTCAAGTAGCTTGTCTGAGTCCAATTAGGGAAGGGTTAGCTCTGATTAAGTTTAAAGAAATGTGGTTAGTGAAAGAAGCCACAAAATGAAGACTTCAGAATGGAGACACCACTCCTCTCTGTTTTACATGGTGCCTGTTATTGCTGTGGGTTTTGGAGATTCACTGGATTGGTCTGTTACTCATGGTAAAGTCCACCTGGTATAGCATGTTGCAAAGATGAGAAGGATCTGAATTTCTGCATCTGACTCAGTGGAAGATGGAGATACCTCCTTAAAATTGAGGCAAGTATTCTCTGAGTGGAAGGAGGAATAAAAGGAAAAAGAAAGTATTATTCAGAATTCTACTTGTATCTGACACAGAAACAGTGAGTTTAAGGCTATTGTTAGCCACTGTCTCTGGTTCCCCACATAGTCCTTAGGCTAGTGGTGTAGAGGAAGTGATCTGTTGTGGAGAGGGTATATATGACTGCGTTGCTTCTATCAGGAAGCCATGAAGTTGCCAGGGTATACTTAGACCCAGAAAAAGATTTTTAAATGTCAGTGGCATTACTCACATGTCTCTTCTGGCTGTCTCAGTGCGTTCTTCACCCTCACACAGAGATTGACACGTTTCCCATATCCCTGGTCAAAAATAGAATGTCCTTCTCATTTCAGCTCTGAAACACTCAAATGGTGTGTCCCAAGCTTTTGCAGTCTTCTTCAATTCATAACCCAAAGCCAATACAAGCAAGGTGTCTGAGTGCTTTTAATATGTGTATGTACTTACAACTCTCATTATATAAATTGTTTTCCCTTGAGATGCTTCTCATTGCTAGAAAGTCCTGCTTTTATGCTTATATTTCTCTTTAAACTTTACTTTTATGCCAACAGATGATGTGCTTGACTCTATTTTCCATTTAATGTTAGGATATTGGACTCTTGGCAAAGCATAATGAGGGGCCCAGTTCACTCTCAGTTTAAATGCTAAGATAATGTACTTCTGCATAAGATGAAAGAGACACCTATCCAATGGCTGCCCTTTAGTCTGACTGTTCTGCTGCCTGTAAATCATTTGGGTATGGACAGATGGCCTCTGTTTGAACCAAGCACTCCCCTTCACTAGCTATCATCTTCTTCCCTCTTATTACCCTGGCTAATTCTTATTCTGATTCCTGATATGCACCTTAGGCTGTCTCTGTTTGTTGGACTTATTCAGAATTTTTTCACTGACTCAACAGCCTTCCTCTTCTCTACCCACCCTCACCTTCCTTGAGCTTCCAAGGAGAATGGCAAGCTCATTTGTGTACTTCTAGAGCAACCCTGTCACAGAGCTAATGGCTACCAATGAACAACAAATTAGCAGATGATGCCTGCACTTGATGGCTGGATTTGGTCAAGCCATTGTTTGCTACTTTTAAATAATGTTACATGGTATTGTTTTTATACTCAGTTATTAATGAGTCCTTCTTCACCTCGTTCCTCCATTCTTCCAGTTTCAAGATGATTTGTGATGAAGACTTTTCTCAGCTCCTTTCGGAGAAGACCAAAGTTAAGAATTCAGACTTAATTGGTACTTGCCTTCATAGCTTCCACACTCGCTTTGCTCTGTCATTTTCATATGGTGCCACAAATTCCCTCCCACCTTCTAGGGCACAAAATAATCTCTTATTGTTGGAGAAACTCAAAGGATACTCTATGAATGTCTATTTGGGATTTCTAATTCTTACTTTACATTTGATCTACCATATTTTTCTCTTTATTTGGGCAATCTTTGCTTTTTAAACAATATATATTTTTAAAATTACAAAATAAATGCATTTGTGATAAACTCAGAAAATATAGAAAAGGTCCAGTGAAGGGACATAGAATCATTTATAATCTCCCCATTTATTATTAACTTTGACTTATATCTAATATATTTTCTATCTAGTAACATAATTACAATCATATTTTATACACTGTATCTCTTTTTCACTCAACAATCCATTATTATTTCCCCATAGTAATAAATATTCTTTATAATATTAAGAATAACATAACCTTCTCTCCTAGTGTAAGCACTTTCTTTTTAATTCAGGAGTGGATTCTGAATGTTATCACACATCTTTTTCATTACTATTGAGATGTGTGCTCTGGTTTCTTCCAGTAATCTATTGGCATAAAAAGCAATATCACTAGTGGTAAGAGTGTCACTCTATAGCCAGACTTCCTGGATTCAAGCCTGCCTCTGCCCTTACCAATTGTGTGACTTTGAACAACTTACTCAATATCCCAACACTTGAACTTTCTTATCTGTAAACGAGGCACAATAATGGGACCCATATAATTTATTCTTGTGAAAATTGAATGAATATATGAGCAGATCTTAGGATACCACCTGACAAAAAACCAGAACAATGTGTTTGTAATTGCTTCTCAATCCTGAAAGTAATTTCACTTTGTCAAGTACTCTTAATATACTGCAGAGTTATCTCATGTTTATTTAGAACTGGGAATGATCTCCAGTTTTTTCATTATTCAACTTTGTTCACATTTGGCATCAAAATATATGGTCTTTTAAAAATGAAGTTAAAAGGGAAGTTTCATTTTATTCCCTATGCTTTCGAACAATGAAAAAGAACTAGAGAAGAACAAAGTCAGAGGACAAACACTAGCCAGCTTCAAGACTTCCCGTAAAGATATAGTAATCAAAACAATGTGGTATTGGCAAAAGAATAGACAAAGAGATCAACGAAACAGAATAGATTACCCAGAAATAGACCCACAAAAATATATTCACCTGATATTTGACAAAGAAGCAAAGGCAATATAGTGGAGAAAAGATAATCTTTTCAATACACCATGCTGAAACAACAGGACATCCAAATGCAATGAACCTAGACACAAACCTTACAACCTTCACAAAACTCAACTTAAATGGATCACAGGCCTAAAGGTAAAATGTAAAAGTATAAGTCCCCTAGAAATAACATAGGAGTAACTCTAGATGACTTTGGGTTTGGTAATGACTTTTTAGATGCAGCACCAAAGGCATGATCCATGAAAGAAATAACTGATAAGCTGAACTTCATTAAAATAAAAAAAAATTCTGTTCTGTAAAATACTGTCAAGAAGATGAAAAGGCAAGCCACAGACTGGGAGAAAATATTTACAAAAGACGTATTTGATAAAGGACTGTTATCCTACAAGGCACCTATTCAACAATGAGAAAATAAACAACCTGATTTGAAAATGAGCCAAAGACCTCAACAGACATCTCACTAAAGAAGATATACAGTGGGAAATAAGCATACGAAAAGATGTTCCACATCATATATCGTCAAATAAATGCAAATTAAAACAGCAATACAATATCGCTACACACCTATTATAATGGCCAAAATCCAGAACACTGACAATACTAAATGCTGGTGAGGATGTAGAGCAACAGGAATTATCATTCACTGCTGTAATGAATACAAATGCAAAATGGAACAGCCACTTTGGGAGACAGTTTGGTGGATTCTTACAAAACTAAACATACTCTTACCATGGGATCCAGAAATTATATGCCTTGGTATTTACTCAAAGGAACTGAAAACTTATGTCCACACAAAAACTTGCACACACACGTTTATTGCAGGCTTATTCATAATTTTGCAAATATTTGGAAACAGCTAAGACATCCTTCCGTAGATGAATGAAAAATAAACTGTGGTACATAAAGATAATGGACTATTTTCCAGTGCTAAAAAGAAATGAGCTACCAAGCCATGAAAAGACAAAGAGAAAACTTAGGTGCATATTACCAAGTGAAGGAAGCTCATCTGAAAATGCCACATACTGTATGATTCCAACTATATGACATTCTGGAAAAGCCAAAGCTATGGAGACAGTGAAAACTTTAGTGGTTGGCAGGGGGTAGTGGGAGGGAGAGATGAATAGGTGGAGAACAGAGGATTTTTAGGGAAGTGAAAATACTCTGTAAGATACTATAATGGTGGACACATGTCATTATACATCTCCAAACTCACGGAATGTAGGGCACCAGGAGTGAACCCTAATGGAAACTATGAGCTTTGGATGATGATGTGTTACTGGAAGTTCATTAGCTGTAACAAATGTACCACTCTGTGGGGATGCTATAAATGAGGGAGGCTATGCATGTGTCGGGGGAGGAGGAGGAGAGACCCCTACCATGGGGTTTCTCTGTGTGTTCATTTCAGTTTTGCTGTTAACCTAACACTGCTCTAAAAAATATGGTTTCTTTACAAAAAACTTAGAGTAATCTCACACTTGAAGGTTTGAGAAGACTCACTCAGAACTTCTAAGACCAGCATTTCTTACCAGTAAACTTTTTTAAATATTATGTTTTTCTATGGTTATCAAGTGTTCTACTTCTTAAGAAGTTATTTTTGATAACATACTTTCCTAAAAATTTTTCAATTTTTTCAATATTTTTAGGTAGTATTTTTTCTTTCCTTAAAAATAGGGAGCCGAAAAAAAATAAAAAATAAAAAATAAAAATAAATAAATCCACTTTATATCAAACACTATATTTACTTTCCCATTCATAGTTTTAGCTGTATTTATTCTCTCTTTTCTTTGAGAAGACTAGCTAGAGATTTATCTATTAGTTTTTTTCTTCAAACAATTTTCAGGCTTATTTTAATCCTACCATCTTTCTATTTTCTGATATAATTATTTTTGCTTTAATATTTGTGTATGCTTTTCTTAGAGTTACTTTATTTTACTTAACTTCTTGAGTTTAGTGCTTATTTAAATTATTTTAATTCTGTGTTCTTTAATAATGAAAGCATGGAAATGGAAATCTAGGAGCTTTTCCCTGAGCACAAGAATATACCCTTCTTTACATCTGTCTTCTCCAGTTTTTAGAGAAGGTACATTTTGTTTTAAATTCAACATGTACCTGTGCAAACACATTGTATAGTTTTCTTCTTGTCTAACTAAAATGCAGATTGTCTCTTTAAACAAACAAACAATCAAATAATTTAGCATGCCTCCTACCCCACTTCCTAGCCATGCCTGTTTTGGTAACATAATTTGGAGATTTAGGCAGACTATTGTCTTTAACGTTTAAGTTTTACATTACACATTTCCTATTTTCAGTAGTCCCCATCGAGCCTATTATAAGAAAACTTCCCTATTCTTGTGCTTTTTTTTAATGTTTATTAAGGTTTGAACAGATCTTTGAAGATTTTTTTTCCAAACAAAATTAATAGGTGGTATATTTTCTAAGCTCCTGAATACTCAAAAAAGTCCTATTTCCTTCACATGAGAAAGAAAGCATTGACGGAAATAATAATCTAAGTCACAGTAGCTTAACCTCAAAATGCTGAATTTGCACTGTCCAATATGGGTGGCATTAACCACATGGAGCTATTTAAATTAAAATTACTAAAATTAAGTAAAATGAAAATTCAGTCCACTGGTCACATTTCAAGGGTTCCATAGCTCAACAGGAGTAGTGGCTACCATATGGTACAGCACACATCTAGAACATTTTCATCATTGCAGAAAGTTTTATTGAACAGCAGTTCCTAGTCTACACATTGATCCACTGACTTGTAGATTACAGAGAAGAAGGTTGAAGACACCTGTTTTAAATTCCTTTATAGAATAACCAGATATTCTACCTAGAGTTTATAGAATTTTAAATTTTCAGGTTGTAATTATGTAGATTTTAGTTTAGAATATCAGTCTGCATATGGGAAATATTCTGAGCTCAGGAAAACTTACTTCAATTACATCCTCAAAAATTGCTTTATTTTTCTCCAGGTACGGTAGCGTTTATCTTGGTTTGAGTTTCTGTTTTCTGTCTCCCTCTTTTTTTTTCTCATAGTTTCACCTTTGTTTCTTTTTTTAAACTCTCCAGGAAAAGTTATCAAATTAGTCCTTTGCATCTTTGAGTTTATTTCCTAGGCACCAAGCTATGATTTTTTTTCTGTAATAATAGTAGGATATTAATCCTACTAAATAATTATTTCTCATCAGATTCATCTACTTGTATATCTGATCCTGCTGTCACTTTTTGTCTTTCTCTCTTTTCTCCTTATTACTTTTAACTGTTTTGTAGAAGCCATTTTTTTTTCATTTTTACTGGAAATTCTAAACAACTTTTTGAATTTTTTCCTCAGGATTCTACAATTGGTCATTTTCAGTTATAAGCAGTCTCCTTTCTTCCAAGTCCTCAGCATGACTACTTCTTGTCCCTAATTTTACATTATGTTTCTATGGGCCCTAATTTGGACTTTTAAATTTAGTTATCTTTTTTTCATTTTTTAAAATTTAACTTTTATTTTAAGTTCAGAGGTACAAGAGCAGGTTTGTTACATAGGTAAACTTGTGTCATAGGGGTTTATTGTCCAGATTATTTCATCACCCATGGATTAAGCCTAGTACCCATTAGTTATTTTTCCTGATACTCTCTCTCCTCCCACCATCCAACCTCCAATAGGTCCCAGTGTGTGTTGTTCCCACATATGTGTCCATGTGTTCTCATCATTTCACTCCAGGTTATAAGTGAGAACGTGCAGTATTTGGTTTTCTGTTGCTGCTTTAGTTTGCTAAAGATAATGGCCTCCAGCTCCATCCATGTTCCTGCAAAGGGCATGATCTCATTCTTTTGTATGGCTGCATGGTATTCCATGGTGTATACGTACCATATTTTCTTTATTTTTATTTATTTTTAATTTTTTATTATACTTTAAGTTCTGGGGTACATGTACAGAACATGCAGTTTTGTTACATAGGTATACACATGCCATGGTGGTTTGCTACACCCATCAACCTGTCATCTACATTAGGTATTTCTCCTAATGCTATAAAGACACATGCACACGTATGTTTACTGCGGCACTATTCACAATAGAAAAGACTTGGAACCAACCCAAATGTCCATTAATGATAGACTGGCTAAAGAAAATGTGACACATATACACCATGGAATACTATGCAGCCATAAAAAAGGACGAGTTCACATCCTTTGCAGGGACATGGATGAAGCTGGAAACCATAATTCTCAGCAAACTAACACAAGAACAGAAAACCAAACACCGCATGTTCTCACTCATAAATGGGAGTTGAACAATGAGAACACATGGACACAGGGAGAGGAACATCACACACCAGGGCCTGTCAGGGGGTGGGGGGTTAGTGGAGGGATAGCATTAAATTTAGTTATCTTTAAGTAAGATAAGAATAATAAAGAGGTTGTGTTTGAAAATAAAGGATTTTGTTTTGCCCACTTTCTTCTCCTTATTAACTGCAAATATTTAAATCTCCATCTAGAAGCCTGAGTGGAGCCTGCCCCAAGCCCATTCCCAACTTTTCACAGTCTATGTCCCCACCATCACTTTGTAACAACTTTACCTCCAAGGATGTAACTTGCCATTAGGTGTAACCCTTTACTGGCTTGTTCTGGCTTGTTCTCTGGGGCTTGCTTTACTGGCTTGTTCTCTGGGGTTTGCTCCTCTAAATGACGTGGAAGGATGAAAGGCAGTTTAGACATGCTCAGAAAGCCTCCAAAAGCAGCAACTGTGTGGTGGAGGTGGGATTCCATAATTTTTTGTTGGAGCAAGTTCTGGTTCTCTGGGTTATGAGCTGTTTCATGAAGCAAAGTTTGGGAATGCAAACAATCAGAAGTTTGGATTATCTTGACCAAGTTCTATCAGCCTTGTAGATTCCAAAGAGTGCTCCCAGATTCTGGCAATAGATCTTCTGTAAGGTTTGGTTTCCTGTCTTGCTATTTTTATGTATTTTTCTGTCTTCATAGCATTAAAGGGGGAAGGTGGAAGAGGCTACCTCATGACAGTCAACTGCAAGAGGTCAGGTCTCCTCCTGCTCAGGATAACTGTAAAATGTGCTGGGAATATAACATTCTGAAATAAGGAGGGACTGTTCAGAACAGCCCGGGCTCTGTTCCTATCTATTCTAAACAGGATTTTCTGCAAAGCTTTAGCTCTGTGCACCCAGTTTCCCCCAAGGTATAAAACCCAGGGCAGAATGCTTTCAGGGTCCCTCAGTTGCAGTGTGACGTGGAGCACTCACAGACAAGACTCTGTTCATCCTGGACAGCTTTCCTGAAAGTTGGGCACCAGCCCACCTTAATGCTAGGTTTCTATTATCCATCTTCTCCTCTGTGTGTAATAGATAAGAAGATCGATTAACTTGTGTGAGTATTCTGTCTCACCAGACTCATTCAAGTAGAGTGACAGGTGCATGGTGAACCTGCTTCACACCAGTCAGATTCCAAGAGTTTTTTAAATCAGATTCCAAGAGTTTTTATATACTATTTATCTTATATTGAGGTTTTTATTATAAAATGAGTACATTTATAACATAGAAAATATATTTTAAGAAATGTAATAACCATTATTAAGCCTTTCTGGTACATATTCTTTCTGTTTTTCTTAATGCCATCTTTATACTTTTTATCATACAGATGTTAGACTATATGAGAATTGTCCCTGTGTTTAAAAATAGACAACAGGATTTAGATATTCATTCATTCATTCAATGATCAATAAGTTAATATTTAAGCATTTGTTCGTTCGTAAACTGCCAGGCCATGTTAGGTGGCAGAGATTGAGAATGGGAAGGTTTTTGCCCTCAGGGAGTTCAAGGTCTGGCAGGGAAGAGGGATGGGTCAATAAGTAAATACTGTATAATGGAATATGGTTGCTACTGTAGAGGTAGGTTCAGGGAACATTAGAAACAGGAAAGCGGGCACAAACCCCAGACAAAGTAGGTCAGGGAAGTATTTCCAAGGAGGAAAAACTTGGACTGGGTCTTTAACAATGACTAAGTGCTCCTCAGGTAGACAAGTTGGGTGTTGGGGGCAGGATGGGAAGGAAGTATGTTCCAATAAAAGAGGACAGCTTATATAAAGCATGAAAGAGAGACCGGAGCATGCTCAAAGAACTGCAAAGAGTGTTCCATGACTGGAGCACAGGGAGTGGGCACACTCTTGAGAGCTTAAGTTTATATACCATACACAGTAGTTTTATTTTCAATCTTGAAGCCACATGGAGCCCCGATGAGTTTAAGAGAGGGAGTACCTTCTCAGCTGTAACTTTACATGACCCATGCCGGATAGATGGATGGATGGATTAGAGGCAGTTGAGGAGGAGTGACTAATAGGAGAACTAGGGGTGATGCTTCTGTAGTTCTCGTGTGAGTTAATGAAGGCCTGGACTCTGGGAATGGAGGTGGGCATCTTCTCAGTCTTGCAGAATGCCATCTTTTATGGGTAGAGATGATGCTGTGTCTACCTTCCACAAGAAGAAAATATATTCCATGAATATTTAGTCATGTATAGTTTCTTTCATACATTATGTTTCACTGATTCATCATGTCTTTCCCATTCTCCATTGTCCCAGATATATATCCCTCCCTATTCCTTTGAGAGTACCTCTTTCCTAAGATGTACTTCTCCATGGTCTGTACCAGGGGTCAGCAAACTATAGCCTGCATGACAAATCCAGCCTGCAGCCTTTTTTCTTTTTTGTAAATAAAGTTTTATTAGAACATAACCCAGCCCATTCACTTACCTAATATGTCTATGGCTACTTTTTATTACAATGGTAAAGTTGAGTAGTTTCAAAAGAGATCATATGTGGCCCACAAAGCCTGAAATATTTACTATCTGGTCATTTACAGAACAACTTTGCTGACCTCTTAACTACTTAGTTTATCCAAATCTTGCTCATTCCTAAAAGTCCAGCTCAAAGTTTCTCTTATGTTCTGGGACCACAGTGATGTTTCTCTTTCCTCTGAATTGGTAGTTATTACTGTTTGGGTCACATATTATTTTAGTTATCCTATATATTGTCTTGAGTTTTTTTCTCTTCCAAAAGCTTAGATTTTTAAATATACAAACTATACATGTAAGATTTTTTGGAAACAGGGACCAGATATGCTGGCTGTCTATAATATGCAAGGCATAGTTCTCTGGATTCCTCAGTGAAGTTGTTTGCCCACTCCCACTCCCACTCCCACCTCCGACTGCCATCCTCTCCCCAGGTGATATGTGCAACACAACTTTAAGATACTTGCACACAATGGTGATATATACTTGAGAGATAGCTATGTGAGATTAAAGATACAATTGGATCCCCATGTAAGAGTCACAGAGTTTATTTCTTTCTTTGTTAATAGCTTCTGAGAGGGTGAATTAGCAGATATCTATAAAGGGCTAATGCTCACTAGTATCATTACTCTTCAAAAATCAATTGCCTAGGTCAATCCTCCAGCCTTCATTGGTTTTGAAGGAATGTTTGCTCCTTTCAAACTACAGTTAGATATTAAATATATCCACATATTAAGCATTGAGAAAAGCTGGAGAAGTGTGTAAATACTCTAAGCATATGTGTTTTATGGTGCAAATATTGAGAAGTTTACAAAGCAGTAATATGTTTCGGTCTCTGGTGTGCTCTGCAGCCACCTCCCTAACTCTGTTTCCATGTTCTCTCAGTCAAGTTTACTTATGAACTAAACGGTATTCTACTAGGGAGGTGAGGTATAGCACTGCATGCTCTCTTTACGTGAGAGATGGTATTGCCAAGTGGTACAGGACTCAGGGTCTGGAGTCAAATCAAATAGATGCTAACTCAGAGGGCAGTTGTGACAATTCCATGAGATCATGCATGTCATATAGTGCTTGGAATATATAAGCAATCAATAAATCTTAGCTATAATTATTATTCTTATCATATTATGAGACAAGTACTTTTCTCTTAGAAAATATATCCAGCAAATAGTTACGTATGGTTTCTTTGAGACATGGATATAATGGGCTACTTGAAAGGATGCTAGCGATCCGGTATCCTAAATATCTCATCAGTGAGAACATGGCCGTTTTCTTTTGGATGGTGCCCTAGAAGATAGCAAATAAGAGCTCTTACTCTGAAACCAGTTGAATACAAAAGCCTCTTGCAGGGACTCTAATCACTATTTTATCTTAAATAATAAAAACATTAAAGACAAGGAAAAATAACCTTCCAGAACTGATATTACATCCCATGAACACATTGTAATTGTATTTCTTTTCTTTTGCATAAAACAACAAGTCTTATGTTAATATAGCCAAAGACAACCTGAAATGTGCAATCTGTGCAGAAACAGAATTGCAAATGTTTGATCAGGAGAGCAGGAAGCTCACGTTCTGCTACTCCACTCCCAAAATAGAAAACCTATTTAGCACTTTGTAAAACACGCTAAATGAAGTTTGCTCTCTCCTGCAGATAGAGATTTTACTTCATTTTGTGCCAGTGAAATTTTTGAAAATTACATGAGGAGAGAGCAATTTTTGGCACTTTGGCTAGGAGTACAAAATGTTAGCAAATGGTGCTGAAAGGATCTTAAGTGTAATGTTGGAATAATATTCACACAACACTGGCTGCATCTTCGTTTTTAACCTATTTACATATTCACAGGGAAAAATGCTTAGCAGTTATTTGTCTAAAGGGGCCTATTTAAGGGGAAAATGGCATTCACAATTTTTGAATACATTAGTCAAGAAGGTTGCTGTGAATAACAATTCATAAAGAAAAATATCATTTCAACTATCATAGAAGGAGTAGCAGGATATAGGTGGAGAAATTTTGGACATCAATGTTAGTTCTGGACATAGAAAGAAAAGGAGGAAAAGAAGGGAGTGAGAAACATAATACATACCAGAAATTTCCACAGTGTAAGTGGACACAGAAAGAGCCACTAAACAAAGCTGAAAAAACTGACAGAATTTCCCGAGTTCTAACATGACTTTTAATTTCTGACCACTTGCTATGTACAGAAATGGAAGTATCCATCTTAAAAAGGGAATATCCTTTCATTCAAAATGTATTTAACAGCTATCTTCTGTATCTGTGGCACAACCATAGAAACTGTGGCATATAGAAATCGCTATATATTTTTTGCCCACAAGGAACTTGCAGTCAAGTTAGAGAGAGAATACTGTAGTCAAGAGACACCGAATAGGTATTTAGGAGGTATAGAGCCGAAGCACCAACCTCTGGGTATAGGTTGGCTTCTACAGAAGGAATTTTGGATGGATACTTGTGAAAATAAGTGAAAGAAGAAGGACTGAGCAGAAACCAAACTGCAATTTTTTGCAAGTCAGTTTTTTTTGCAGACGATTGCATATCAAACTGCAGTGCAGCCCTGACAAAGCCTCGGCCACTCACCTAGGGGTGGGGCGTGGTGCTGAAGCATATATCAGCTGTCTGAGCTTTCTCACATTGGGCCAAAACGGCCCAATGTTTTTTTCCCCTGCCTGGATCAGTCACTGGATGTGAACCACCCTGAGGAGGTGTGACGTCCAATAAGGTCGCTTTCTGCGACAGAGGTGGAGCCTCCCTGAGCTGAGGACTGGGGACTCTGTTGAAAGTCCCCCTCGCTATTGGGTGCAGCACATCACTGAAGATGCTCTGGGTGGCACAGCTTTGTGTCTACCCTAATTCATTTGTAAAGCTTTTTGAGAACTGCAAATTAAAGCATCCATTAATGAAGGTGAATGGAAATTCAGCAGATAGATCTAGCAATGAACTTTTATTAAACCAATATGTACAGATGGTTTAATACAGAGATCATTCATAAACCAATGTGTTTTACTACTGTGTTTTATCAGTACATCCTGTGTGTTTTCTATAGCCCACTAGTTCCATAAAATATTGATAATTTTTCTCCAAAAAAATATTCTGTGGTGAAAAAATTTGGAGAGGGTAGAAAATTAAGGTAATTTTTCTGAGGTACAACAAAATATCTAGGAAATTAAGATAATTTTTCTGAGGTACAACAAAATATCTAGCCGGTCCAATCCTTTGGACTTTAAGACAGCTAATCTTGACCAACACTGAAGACAGCCAACTTGGTGCTATAGAAGGGCCCCTATCCTTTTCAACTATACCCCAAGCCATCAATAAGCTGCTACTTCCAACAATATATGAAGTCATGGAACACATATGTGTATGTAGACAGCAACAAGACTTCTGCAGATCACTTCTGTGCCAGTATCCCATTGTCATCTGGTCCCAGTGTTTACTTGTCAAGAAGAGTCTGATTTAATTGAAGTTGAACCAAGCCCTGCTCCCATGTTCTTCCACATTGTGTCCTTTCATCCCCACAAACACCCTGTGTAATAAATATTATTATTTCCCATTTTTAGATGAGGAAACCAAGAGTGAGAGAGGTTTAGAGATCTCCCTAAAAAATGTTGCATTTTTGGTAAACAGCCGATTAGACTTGAACATAGGTCTGTGACTTTAAATCCATTGTTCTTCCCACTCTCCATCTGATCCATCATCCTAACACCGTCCATCAGTATATCCCATGTGTTTTCTGTAGCCCACTAGTTCCATGAAATATTAGTAATGTTTCCCAAAAAAGGGTTCTGTGGTCAAACAAATTTGGAAATCACTAAGCTAAACAAAGTTAAACAGAGTTTCTTTTCAACACAGGAAGTCTCAGAACATGTTCATGCTAATATGCCTTAAGAAGCTATAAATAGCTCAAAGGCAGAGGTTTCCATAACTGACTTGACCACAAAAATATTTTTTCCTATGGGCATCTTGAAAAACTAAGGATCAACAGAACAAACTATGGGAAATTCCGCTGCACAAGACTTGAAACAATCCCTCTCCTTCAGCTAGATGTCAGAAAAGTCCTCTTTGTCTTGTGAGTTGATGAGAAGACAGGATTTCATCTCTGAAAGGGAACAGGTTCCAGCCTCCTGGGCATGTTCTCCAGGCAGTAGATGGGCACCTCGCCCAATGTGTCCTTCATCTGACTTGATGGTACCAAGCCACTGCAGGAGACACAGCCATTTAGGGAGACAGCTCAGGGCTTTTTCTCACAGCTTTAGCATGAAAGGAGAGAAAGATAAGAAATTCTGAAGAAACACAGATTTGTAAATAACAACAACAACACTGTAGGTCCCTAAAAGACATTACTTAGAATTTAAATGAAACCCCCCAAGTTCCAAATTTAAACACAAACACACAGAAACACACACAGATGCGCGCACACACACACACACACTCAGAGCTCCAAAACTCTCACCATGTAAAAGTGGCCCAACAGCAACAATCCTTTACAAAATATATAAATTTCTCTCTTTTTTAAATATCTTTAGACAGTGACCTTTTCATGTGTATCAGGTTAATTTCATCTGTGCAATCTGATAGCAATTGCTTCCCAGAGCTAGTCTGGTTTTCAGTTTGCCAATGGTGTTTTCAGGTGTGGAGATCTGTGATTTACATTTCCATCTGACTGTTGTCTTTGGACATCTGTGCCTCTGGGTTACTAGGACTAAGAGGAAAGCAGTTACTCATGGAGAAAAATGAAGGGTGGGTAGGATGAATAACAGCAAAGTCAGTAGTCTAAGACACCACAGACTCCATGTTCTCCAGAAGAACAGCTTTGAACTGCACGTGGGTGGCAAGTCAAGGATTGGTTCTTATTAGTATTGCCATAAATTCCCTAAACTTTGTAGGAAATGTCACCTCTTGTGGCCAGTGGTAATAAATTAGGGATCAAGAGAGCTTAAAATTCCATGTTGGAAAAGGTGTTAGGCTCTTCCTTCAAGATTCCAATTAAAAACACTCTTTTAAATCATGATTTCCCTTATCTTATTAAAATTGTAGAAGATATTTTTCAAAGATAACTATTAATACTTAAAATAAATTAGGAGACAATATGTGAGGAAGTTTTTCTGGAATATCCAAACTATCAAATGCAATTCACGTTAGGTAGACTCAAGAAAAAAAAAATCCAAAGGCAGAGTCAAGAACTAGGACAGAGTCAAAGGCAGCATCTCTATTCATAGGTAAAAGGCATGTGTGATCATCAGGACTGAAGAAGAAGCTTCAACCCACAGGGCTGATAAAGAGCAAGATGGCAAAAGGATTTTGTTTGTTTGTTTGTTTTGAGACAGAGTCTTGCTCTGTCACCCAGGCTGGAGTGCAGTGGCGTGATCTCAGCTTACTGCAACTTCCACCTCCTGGGTTCAAGCAATTCTCCTGCCTCAACTTCCCAAGTAGCTGGGATTACAGGCATGCACCACCACACCCAGCTAATGTTTATATTTTTTAGTAGAGACGGGGATTCACCATGTTGGCCAGGCTGGTCTCGAACTCCTGACCTCAAGTGATCCGCCTGCCTTGGCCTCCCAAAGTACTGGGATTACAGACATGAGTCACCACACCTGGCTGCAAAAGGGTTTTAAGATGCAAAAACATGGGTCAAAAATTGCACTGGCCTCAAGTCTGGAAATTACTTTATTCAGAGGCTTTAGAGCAGAGCAGATGGCCCTCAGTTTGAATATTTAACATGTTGCCACTTGTCATTGTAATTCATACCTCTTCCCATCTCTTTGAACTTTTATTTCCCATTGCTTTGGATAGCATGTAAAATTGAGGTAATAATGTTGTCTGAAAAGATAAAAATGTCTCTTCATCTGCAGGATTCATTTAAATGCAATTGAATCATGAAGAATTTAATAAAATTAAATGCACACTCAAGTCAAGTGAACACTTTATATTGAAATAATATTTATTGCTTTATTTTATTGTTTTATTTGTGTTTACTGGCTATTTGTATTTCTTCTGTTGTATATTGCCTGTTCATGTCTGTTGCCCATTTGTTAAATGAGAGTGTGTTTTTCCCACTAATTCTACATTAAGGATGCAAATTATTTGAATTCTATATATATTGTACATATTTTGGTAAACTAGTTTGGGCATATTTAGGATATGATAAAGTATCTTCTCTTCTTTGTAAAAAATTGAGGGAAATCATAGAAAAATAATCACCAACACAAAAAGAATAGAGAAAATTTATTTATCTAGTATCAAGATATATGCTACATAAATGATCCAATCCATTATTTGGATTATTTTAATTTTTATGGTCACCAAATATTAATTTTTGAAACTTTGAAGGCATAATAGATTTTAGGTATAATACTATTTAAAACCCCAAAGAAATCTAAGCTACTTTAGGAAAACTTTCTTTTTCATCTTCAGTTATGTTTCCCAAAGAATGAAGTACAGTTTTTCCCAATTTGTACTCAAATTATTTGAATGTGAAATGAAAAGTTAATTGTGTGAATTAAAACACACACTCATATCGTTAATCACTCAAGCATGCATTGAAGAGTCTGTGAACGGAATAAAAATGATCCCCCTTTTCTTTGTTTCCACTTTTTTTGTAGTTTTGACAGAACCATTAATGTTGACACACTAGCACAATCTGTTGGATTTTCTAGTAGCTACAGCACCATGGTTTTGGAGATTCCTCAATTCTAATAACAATAATGGTGGACAGGGTTAATGTGCCAAGCACTAAGCTACATGCTTTTCATGCATGACCTAATACAACAATTCTATGGTGGCAGGTACTATGATCTCCATTTTACATATGTGCAAAATGTAGGCACCAGAGATGTAAATAGTCATTTGATCAAAGTCACACAATAGTAAATGGTAAGGCCATGATTCCCACCCAGGCCTCACTGTCTCCAGGAGCCATGTGCAGACAACTGTGGTACACTGCCTGTCAAAACACAGAACAAAACAAAAAAAGGCAGATATCAGATTCAGCTGTTTAAAAAATGGAAGGTAGATTCCTAATAGGAAAAAATGGAGGAAATCTGACTGTTTTCTAGATCTGACTTATTTAACAAATTGCTCACCTACTTATTGGGATCTACAGAGATAATTGCCTAGCTCTTGAGTTCAGACTCTAACAGGGAACCAGACACATAAACAAATAAACATTATTTACTTTTCCAGGCAGGAGGCAATTAAGGTGATTTCAGCTAAGGGTGGTAAGAGAGGTGGGACAGAAGTAATTGTTGTAGCCAGGACCCAGCAATGGGAAGAGGAATGGCATCAGGAGGGCAAATGGACTTACTTTAGAGAAGAGTCGTGATAGTTGATAACAACCTGTACAGATTAAGTTCATTAAGTCCAATAATGCCACGTACTATGCTAAGAATCAACTTTCTCATTTATTCCTCCCAATAACTAATCTATATCATTATTACCTTTGCATTACAGATGAGGAAACTGAGATGAGTTACCTAATCTTCCCGAAGTCAGCTTGCTAGTAAGCGTTGGAACAAGGCAGGAATGCAAGCCATCCTCCACCTAACAACACAGTCCTCTCTTTTTCTTCTGAAAGAGGATAAAATGAAGTAGTGGCAAACGACAGAGAAATGTTTGTCTGTTGGGGGGCCGGGGAATTATACTTAATAGTGTCTATTTCTTTATGCAATTGGAAGCTAGGCCATCTGCCCCAAATGAGGGAATATGATTGAGGGGGAGACTTACAGAGAGTTGTAAACATTCATATCCAGCTAGAAGCTGAACAGAGAAGAGTATGTTTAAATGGTTTGCAGAGCAATGATGAGAGTGCACTTAAGGAAGGAAGCCCTATATTTGTAATGGAGGGCACATTCACAGTTATTCAATGTTGTGCAAACAATGACATTTGGGCAAGAAGTACTCATACTAGAGTTCACTAGGGAAAATTCATGGATACAGAAGACATAGGTCTCCACCTTTCACTTAATTCTACAACATGAGAGTCCAGGCCAAGTTTCAGATTTGAGTAGAAAGAGCTGAACTTAGGGCTGTGGAGTTGTGAAGCTTCCCCAATAGAAAGTGTCATCCCTCTCCTAGTATAATCAAGGACTGGGATACAAATGTCATAAACAGATGGTCTCCAACTTATGATGGTTCAACTTATGGTTTTCCAGCATTATGATGGTGTGAAAGCTGTAGGCATTCATAGAAACCATACTTTGAATTTTGAATTTTGATCTTTTCTAGAGCTAGCAAGGACTCTTTTACAATGCTGGGCAGCAGCAGTGAGCCACAGCACCCATCAGCCATGCCATCAGGAGGGTGAGCAAATGCTACTCTACCAGTGAGTTGCCAGATAATTTTTGCCCATCTGTAGGCTAATATAACTGTTCTGTGCACACTTAAGGTAGGGTAGGCTAAGCTTTGATGTTTGGTAGGTAAGATGTATTAAATGCATTTTTTATTTGAGGTATTTTCAGCTTATTATATATTTGTAGGGACACAAGCCCATTGTAAATTGAGATCTGTAGTGTGATGGAACCTCAATGCAAGATTTCCCGCCAACTCAAGGCTCATGACTGGGAGTCAGCAGCTTCTTTCCTGGTGTGATCTGGATTTGAGGTCCACAATTCGCAGTCACAGGTGTATGATGTCGCAAGCTCTCTGCAGCACTCACCACAGTAGTGTTCATTATTGTGAAGCACCGTCCCCTCCCTTGGCAGTATAGGGAGAGGCCAGGCTCCAGGCCAGTAGTTGACCAGAAATGATTGATTGCTCTAAGCACTTAGAGCCTAGTCTGTTTCCATGAAGCTCTGCAGGAAGCCAACTTCTTTTCAGGGAGGCCAGCCAGCAGGGGGTTAATTTTGTACAAGTTAACCCTTACCACTTATTCAAGTTTCTGCCACAGTGAGAGCAGAGGTACCAGAGATTAAGGGTACCAGAGACTAAAATGTTTAAAATGTTTCATCTCAGGGTCTGGGCCAGGTAGTGAAGGAAGCAGAAGTTAGAGGAGTCTTGACAGAGAAAATAGAAAGGCATCAAGTACCATAGACTTCCATTGCCATTGTTGTGTGGTTGTGCAAACTTTGCAACTTATTTCCACTTACATTGATCAGCTGTTGGAACCATCAGTTATTTCATTTTTTTGAACAGCTCTACTAAAGTATATTTGACATAAAATCAATGCAAATACCTTTTTTTTTTTTTTTTGTATTTTTAGTAGAGACGGGATTTTACCATGTTGGCCAGGTCTCAATCTCTTGACCTCGTGTTCCGCCTGCCTAGGCCTCCCAAAGTCCTGGCATTACAGGTGTGAGCCACTGCACCCAGCCTCAATTGCAAATACTTAAATTGTACAGTCCAAAAAGTTTTGACATCTCTCCACACCCGTGAACTAACACCATTATCATGATAATGAACAAACCGATCGCTCCCAAAACTGTCCCCATACCCCTTTCATCACAGCAGGTGTTGAGGGTCCTGATTTGATTTTTCTCACCCTGTTTGTTTTATGACTAGTTGCCTGTGGCTTTGAACAAGTTATGTCTTTTCCATTTTGTCATTTCCATAATGAATATAAAGCTAACTTATAAACTAGAATATTTTGATAATTAGTGATTATAAAACAAAGGACTAGAGATACAACTTTTATTATAATAGTGAAAAGTGAAAATGGAACTGGCTATATAGGAAGAAGCCATTAATCTTGATGACAGAAACTTTGGGTCAGATTCCCACAACAGATTCTTCACAGGATCTAACAGAATCATCCAGTAAGGAATGGGGAGCATGTCCTTTTGCTCCCATGCCTCCATAGGCTCAGTCCAGTCTGACCTCAGAAACAGGCTCTTGCCCTGGGCAGGAGGAATGTAAAGATTCCCTCCACCCAAATTCCGAGCTCAAAATTAAATTCCATTTTTTTGCTGTTGGTGACAGCATCTGCTGTACACACAAGATGTTGCCTGATCTCTCTGGTGTCCGTTTCTGGCTTTTGGTTGGCCAAACCCACAAGTCTCCAAATTCTTAGTTGGAGTCCTCATGCCTACTGCCTGACCATTCTCTCCTCACTGCTTGTCTCCTTGAGCTTACTTCCTTGCCTGAACATCACTGTCTCAGCCAGCTTCCATCTTGCAGCCTCTGATATGCAGAAGACATTAACTCCCACCCTACCCCAGCCTCCTTGGCAGCCCACCTGGTTTGTCACTGACCTTCCAGATCCAAGCATGACAGTTTAATCTCCATATCCAATCCTCCCCTGACCTGATTAATTTTGCACTTAAGCAACTTCCATGATAAGTTATACTTTTTTTCTTTAGTCCCCAGAGTCAGTTTAGGACCTAGTAAAAAAAAAAAAAAAATCAGGCTTCTTCCATCTAAATTCAAAATCAGTGTTTGGAAAACTGTCTTGGTACAACAAAATCATCTACATTTATTAATTTAGTGGTAAAAGATGAAGTGATAAAAATAATCTCTGAATCCCAAAATGTCTGCAAATGAGAATGAAGAAGAATGCCACGGGCTAGTAGTTTTAGCATATACACTCTCCAACTGTTGGGGCTGATATAGCCCAGTTGAAGAGTGCATGTTAAAAAATATAATGTTAAATATATATATATATATATATATATACACACACACACATATGTATATAAAATAAGTTGGGCTTATTTATAAGTTGGGTCAATTTATACATCTGTCTGTAGCTGTGACTGTTAAAATGTGCAGTCTATAGTATAAAATTGTGATTATGTACCCTAAGAAATATTGTCGTAAGCCCTTTAAAATATGCAGCATCTATTATTCATTTCCACAGAGACATAAAATTTAAGTGGCAGTAAGAAAATTTAAGTTGGACACTTTGAAACAGTGAGAACAATTAAGCCAAGGAATAGGCAAAGGAATCTCCTACCTCATCAATAACAGTTTTTTGTTAGATGATTTTTGAGATGCTATCTGTAGACTTGAGACTATCTCAGGATTATGGAAATGATTCTAAATTGAGGGTGGCTTACACTTGTAGGAGGTGTAATTCAAGTGGCAGTTTCTATTGTAGACACAGATGCATGTTTAAGGATAAAGTGCTTTCAGGGATAAATGAATTTCACAAAATTAAACCTCAGAGAGCTTTCCATTTGTGACCCTACACTTCAGCATCTTTATCCAGACTTGATATCACTCTTTCAGATTTGGGTTCAGGCTATTTCCATCCTAAGTAAAAGAGGGATTAAAATCAAGGGAAAAGAGAACCACCTCCTGTGACTACAAAGGTATTCTCAGCAGTGTGGCTATTCCCAGCTTCACCTCTCACTGGTGAAATCCAACAGAAGGAATTGCAAATTCCTTAGGGCCACCTCTAGTGGGTTTTCTCGGTTGGAAAACCTCAAAGGTAAGAGTTTAATTAGGAATTTAACATTGGCTTCGAAAAAGAAGTCACAATATCTAGGTATTTCATGCAGGGAAGTTGAGTCACTCACAAAAGAATTTCCTGCTAAAAATTCTTTAGTGGCACAGAGTGTGTCTTGCTAATTGGGGTGATGACCACAACAACGCCAGTGGCCAGCCCTTTGCCCAGGGTGGCTGCCTCCATTAGGAATGGCAGTATGCCCTTTTTGTGTACTCTGAAAGGCGCCTGGTGGGGAGGCCCGAGGAGCCACTAGCAACCTTTGTGCAGAGGGCAGGTCTGGGCAGGTCATGGACCGGCAGGACTGAGAAGCCACCTGCTGACAGGGTCTTTCTTCCTCATGAACGAGTCCAGGGGATTCCTTTAGAAAAAGTGCTATTTTAAGCATGACGCAGCCACCTTTAATGATTTCCAGGGAAGGAAATGAGTCTCCCAAATCAATTATGACACTCAATTAGGTTACTTAGGCCGATGAATCCCAAGTGAAATTAGAGGATGGGATGTGTGATTCAGTGGCCTGCAACTCTCCAGGCTGCAGGGCCCAGGGACTGCCAGGGTGGTGTTTTGCTAATATTCCTCTTGTACCTTTGAAGTGTAGTGCTCAGTGCCAGCCCAGTCCTGAGCACAGTGTGAGTGCTCAGTTAAAACTAAATCTCAATGCTCTCTTTTTTCTGTGTTTGATCTATGCACTCACTTGGAAGATCAGAAATGCTTGGAAAATGCATTTTATGTCATGAAAAAAGGCTGAACATCCCTGGCATATGGTCTTTTAATTTCTTTACTGATCTGAATTTTTGAAGTCACACTGGTGTTTTTCAATATTAAAAATGACCAATTAATTTGTTTTTCTATAAGCTTCTCTGAGAAAGAGTGCAAGTAGAAGGAAACAAATGTTAAATCTGTGCATAGGAGCCATGCAATTCCTAGGAGACAGTATCCATAACTTGTCTCAGTGTTGGAAGGTGCCCCAATAATGGGTAGAGTGTCTGTGCACAACTATTGTTGAAGAGACCAGCCTGTAATCAAGAGGTCTTTCCCTAATGCACAACGTGAAGACTTCTGCAATCTTTGGGGCTACTCCCTGTGCCTCTGATCTTAACACAGTGCTGAGTGTCCCACAGCCACCACAGGTTTTGTCATTTCAGAGGTGGGGCAAATGGTTGTGCTAGGTGTGCCCACCAAAAAGGAATCCAGTTAGTGGTGCAACAGGAAACTAAAACCCAACCCTGATCCCTGCTCTCTAAGTCATGCTTTCTGCCCACTGAACCAAATGTTCCCATCCTTGAAGGGGGCACCTTTTTTTCTAATGCACAAAGGTACCATATGATCTAGTAGAGGCCCTGAAGTTGTGATTAGTTGCATTATTGTGGATGTCTCAGAAAACTTGGCAGATGTCCATACCTGCAGAGGTGTACTGCAGCAAACCCCAGAAGTATGGGGAAAGCCAGCGTGCAAAATCAAGGCTCAGAATTTTCCAGAATTGAGAAAATATGAACTCACAAACACAGGAAGCACATTAAAATAAAAAGCAAAATAAAAAAGAAATCCACACCTGGATAGGTTTTAGTGAAACTATAGAACACCAAAGACAAAGGGAAAATTTGAAAAGCAACAGGAAATAAAACGATCCATAAATCACAGGTAGGCTCCTTATAGCAATAAGGGAAACTAGAAAACAATGAAATAATATTGTCAAAGTGCTGACAGAAAATCACTGCCAACTTATACTCTCAGCATAACTGTATTTCAAGAACAAAGGCAATATAAACACATTTTTGGCAAACAAAAGTTGAGATCATAACTAAAAGATCTTTACTAAATGCACTTCCAGAGGAGATAGAGAAACTTGTTTCAGAAGGACAACCTGAGAGACACAAGAGGAAAAGTGAGCAAAGAAATGTCTAAACTGGAGGTAAATCTAAACAACATTATTTGCATAAAGTAGTGATAATCTCAAACCTGATGTCTTAGAAGAGACAAAATACTGAAGATGGAAGAAAGACTGATTAGAATTAAAGCATATTAAGGGTCTGTGTATTTTCCCAGTGAAAAACTATTGGTATTGCTTACTAATTTTGTTAAGCTTACTTGCAAAATTTCAAGGGTGATCACTAAAACAGAAATGAAATGAATACTTACAAACTAATAGAGGGAAAAATGGAATAAATAAACAAAATATCCCACCAAGCCCCCCAAAAGGCAAGATGATACATAGAAGAATCAGAGGAAATGTGAATCAAATAGAAGAAAGAAAGTAAGATGGCAAAAAAAAAAAAAAAAACAAAAACAAGCCCAAATATATCAGACATCACAGTAAGTGGGATTATATTAAACTTGCCAGTTAAAAAATAAGAGTTTCAGATTGGATAAAAAGTAAAACCTACTGTTGATTATAAGCAGTTCCCCTAAAACATATCTAAGGACATGAGATAGTTGAGAATAAAAGGACAGAAAAAAACTAACCATGCAAATACTAATAAAAATAGAGCTGAGATGGCTATAATAACAGCAGATGAGATAGACCTTGAGACAAAATCCATTCTTGTGGCTAGAGTGTGTCCCAACATAATGACAAAGATTTCAACTCCCCAGGAAGATCCAACAATTCTAAAATTGCAGATAACTAATAAAATAGCTTCAAATGATATAAATCAAAAGTTGATAGAACTACAGATACAAATGGACAAATCCTTTCTCATAGTGAGAGATTTCAACACATTTCTCTCAATTCTTGATAGGTCAAAGAGATTTTTAAAAAATTAGTACAAATATAGTGGCATTTTATTGTCCAATAATTTCATTTTAAAAATAAAAATGTATATAAGTACCACTCTGAACATAATAACTTAATCCAATCCCAGTAAAAAGCAAAAACCCCTTATGCTTTATTTAAACTGAGAAAACACATTGTTATTGTATATATATAATTTCCAATGTGCATTTAGAAATTTTAAAATTGTCTAGAGATTTCTATCTTACTATCTCAATTTCATCCAATGATCTAGTGAAACCCACACAGTTTAAATATAGTCCCAAAGAAGAGTTGAACAACACAATTCATAAGCTCAATTTAATGAACATCTAAGGAAATCCATATTCAACACCTGAAGAATACACATTATTTAATAGAATTCATGGAATATTTATGAAAACTGACCAAATGCAGCAATTCTCAAGAAATTTCGAACAAATGGAATCTGACCACAACAGAATTAAGTTTAAAACGAATATATAAAAATGAGTTACATGTATGTATCAGAAATAGAAAAACGTAATTACAAAAAAAATCCTGTCTTATTTGAAATAGAACAAGTGAAAGGAAGCTAGGAAGAAATAATACTAGCCGTAAACATTTACGTGATTCTTAACTATTTCTCAGACCTCTTTCAAAATATTTCATATATATTAATTTACTATTTATAGTAGCCCTTTAAAGTGGTATAATTATCTCCATTTTAAAGATGAAGAAATTGAGGCACAGAGAGGTTACATAAGTTTACACACCCAGTAAATAGCAGGATTCACACCCAGGTAGTCTGGTGCCAGATTCTGTACTCCTCATCACTATCCTTTGCTACTTCTCAAAAGACATGAAAGATCTCTGGGAAGTCCATAGAGGTTTATGGAAAGACATTTGCACCTAAGAGATGGCTATATCATATTTAGGATTGGAAAGACTCCAAATCGTTAAGATATCAATGCTTTCCCAAGTTGTTCTTAAATTCAGTGCAATTTCAATCAAAATATTAACAAATTGCTTCCAGGAATTCAACAAATTGATTTTAAGTTTTATATAAGACAACAAATATTCAATAAAAATAAGACAATAATTGAGAGAAAGAATAAGGTAAGATTTGCCCTACCAGATGTAAGGACTTGCTATACATTGTATTGACTAGGGTAGTGTGGTACTAACCAGAAATAAATTAGACCAAAGGAATAAAATAGAGAAGAGAGAAAGACCCACAAAACAATTGACTTTTATATGGCAAAAGTAACATTGTATATCTTGGGACTAGAACTGACTAGTCAAAGGCGATTATTAAAAAGTCAGGGGGCCGGGCGTGGTGCCTCATGCCTGTAATCCCAGCACTTTGGGAGGCCGAGGCGGGCAGATCACCTGAGGTCGGGAGTTCAAGACTACCCTGACCAACATGGAGAAACCCCATCTTTACTAAAAATACAAAAATTAGCTGGGCGTGGTGGGGCATGCCTGTAATCCCAGCTACTCTGGAGGCTGAGGCAGGAGAATGGCTTGAACCCGGGAGGTAGAGGTTGTGGTGAGCCAAGATCATGCCATTGCACTCCAGCCTAGGCAACAAGAGCAAAACTCCGTCTCAAAAAAAAAAAAAAAAAAAAAAGTCAGCAAACAACAGATGCTGGCAAGGCTGTGGAGCAATCACAATGCTTTTACGCTGTTGCTGGGAGTGTAAATTAGTTCAACCATTGTGGCAGACACTATGGCGATTCCTCAAGGATCTAGAACCAGAAATGCCATTTGACCCAGCAATCCCATTACTGGGCATATACCCAAAGGATTATAAATCATTCTACTATAAACACACATATACACACATGTTCACTGCAGCACTATTTACAATAGCAAACACTTGGAACCAACCCAAATGACCATCAATGACAGACTGGATAAAGAAAACGTGGGACATATATACCATGGAATACTATGCAGCCAGAAAAAATGAGTTCATGTCTTTTGTAGGGACATGGATGAAGCTGGAAGCCATCATTCTTAGCAAACTAACACAGGAACAGAAAACCAAACACCGCATGCTCTCACTCATAAGTGGGAGTTGAACAATGAGAACACATGGACACATGGAGGTGAACATCACACGCTGGGGCCTGTCAGGGGGTGGGAGGCAAGGGGAGGCAGAGCATTAGGAGAAATACCTAATGCATGCGGGTCTTAAAACCTAGATGACGGGTTGATAGGTGCAGCAAACCACCATGGCACATGTATATCTACATAACAAACCTGCACATTCTGCACATGTATCCCAGAACTTAAAGTGAAATAAAAATAATTTTTTAAAAAACTGACTATTCAATAAATGGTGTTTGGACAACTGGTGAAATTGGGCATATGGAGAAAGACTGAACCCTACTTCATATCATACACAAAAACTAACTCAATATGATTCAAGACTTAACTGTGCAAAAGCAAAAAAGTACAAAAAATTAGAAGGCAATATAGGAGAATATTTTGTTGAACACATGTTCCTGAACAAGATGTAGAAAGTGTAAACCATAAAAGAAAAAGCTGATTTCCCAGCTGCATTAAAACATTTCTGTTCGACCACAAAAATTTGAACACATATTGAGTATTAGATGACATTAAGGAATCATTAATTTTATTAGATAAAATCATGGTATTATGTGATTTTGTTTTTTTTTAAGAAAGACTCTATTAGAGATACATAGTGAAGTATGTCCTAGTGCAATAATATGACGCAGAACTTGCTTTAAGATATTCCAGGAAAAAAAAAAGTGGAGGGAAATACATGACATGAGATTAGAAAACATGTTGATAACTACTGAAACTGGGCAATGAGTATGTGGAAGTTATTTTACAACTCTCTTTACTTTTGTATATGTTTTAAAATTTCCATAAGAAGAAATAAAGAGAGAAAGAGGAGGTAAGAGAGGAGGAAGAGTAGAATTACATTTATCAAAAAATACTGTGCTAGTCTGGGTTCCCCAGGAGGTAGATGACAAGGTGGAATTAAAGGTGCAAGAGATTTGCTGGGGACAGCACCTGTGAAGAATAAAGGCAAGAAGGAGCAGCAGTGTGGGGGAGAGTCTGAGACTATGATTCGGGCCTGACACCTAGGAAAAGAGAGGGGCGAGAAGAAGGATTGGATAGGAAGAGCCTCTGCCTGCAGTGCCACACTGAGAAAGCCCTGGGCAGGCTTCAGTACCTCCACCATGCTCAGGTTTGACCAGTAGCATGTGACCCAAAGGTGTGGCTAATGAAGGATGTCAACTAATTACTTTCCTTACAGTAGGTTCTCTCTGAACAGTGCACTCCCATGGTTACCACACATACCAGAAAGGAAGTGAAAAAACAACCACAGACTTGAAGGAGTAACAGAAGACTGGAACACTATAAACACTATAAAGAATTTCAAGAAAAAAATATAAAAGTCAAACAAATATAGAATTAAAAACAGGCAAAAGACAAAGCAGGCGTTTCACTGAAAACAAAATATATAGTCCAAAAGTATATGAAACGTTTCATCAGTAACAAGATAAAAATTAAAACCAGTTCATACCCACAAGATTGGCAAAAATGTTAGAGTTGAATATACCAAGTGTTTGTGAAGTTATGGAATAAAAGAAACACTCCATTGAATGCTTGTGGGAGCACTAATTGCCTTGGGAAATCAGTGTGTCATTAGCTCACAAAGCTGAAAACAAGAATTCACAACCCAGTAATTCCACTCTTAGTTATATATCTGTTTGCTTTCTATTGCTGCCATAACAAATTACCACAAACCTGCTGGCTTGAAACAACAAAAATGTATTATCTTACAATTCTGCAGGCCATATGTCTATATGGGTCTCCCTGGAACAACAGGAAGGTGTTAGCCGACTGCATTCCTTCCTGGAGGCTCTAGGAGAGAATCTGTTCCCTGTTCTTTTGCATTGTTGGCACAATTCCGTTCTTTGAGGTTGTAGGACTGAGTTCCCTGTTTATTCACCATAACATGAGGGCTGTTCTTCATTTCAGAGGCCTCCAGATTCTTCTGCTTTTGGCTCCCCTCCTCCATCTTCAAAGACAGCAAGGACAGGTTGAGAAGTTCTCGAGTTGCATCTCTCTGATCAATTCTTTGGCCTCCATCTTCTGCTTTTAAGTACTTGGGTGATTAGTTTTGGCCCACCTGGGTAATCCAGGATAACCTCCTTCTCTTAAGATCCTTAACTTTAATCCCATCTGCACATTCATTTTTGGCCATGTAAAACAATATGTTCACAGACTCAGGGGGTTAGGACTTAAATGGTTTTAGAAGGATATTATTTGGCCTACCACATCATTGTAAAGACACTTACACACACACCAGGATACATGGTTTGGAATGTTCATAGCCACATAGTGCATAGACAACAGAAACTGGAAACAAACCAAGTGTTCATTAATGGTAGGATGGTTGAATAAATTCTGGTATGTTTACAAAGTGAAAAACCATACAATAGTGAAATAATGAATAAACCACAGATACACGAAATAAAATGCTAACACCCACAAAGTTAAGTAGTGGACACACAGCAGTCTCTGAAACAATCATTCTGTGTCCTCTTTACTTGTTTTCAAGCTCCAGATTCAACCCACTTCCCCTTTAGTTCTCCCAGATTCACAATCCCACACGTGTTCAGTGGGCTCAGCATTGGCATCTGGGATCTCAGTTCTGAACTCTCAGGGCTCCCATAGGCACTGGTTTCTCATCTTCCCACTGGCTTTCCCCACAATCCTCTACCCCAGAAAGGCAGCTTGATCCTAGCCTCCCACTCCCAGCCAGCCCCTGACCCAGCTCTCTGGTTGGACATCCCTCTAGCTTTCCAAATCCCAGAGGTACTATCAGAAACCACTCAGTCACAGACCCCTCTGCAACACAGGAGCTCACCAAGGGGGGAAATGCCTATATGTTAGTGGGATTTCAGGGGAGGGAAGAGATAGAAGATGATCTATTTTGAAGGTATATTTCCCGCCTAAAAATATGGCCTTGGTTTCTCATTCCTGTTCATTGTTGAACTCAACAGCTAAGTTGATAACTTAAAAAGCAAAGGAAATGTAGCAACTCTAAACTTCTGAGAGAGTAAATATGAAAAGTTAGTTCTCTATTTATAAATAGAAAAATACTCTTTTTATGGTTAAGGCTTGGCGATAGTTATTTTTACTCAGGAATTTCACCAATTCTTTGCTGGACTGAGGAAGAAAATTACCTTTCACCTAAACAAGAGAAAAATATTATTCATAGCACTTAAATGTTGGTCTCCAGCCTTAACTGTACATCAAATGACAAAGGGAACTTTAAACAAATACTGAGGTCTGGGTCCCATTCCTAGTGATTCTGAATAAATTGATCTGGAATGTGCCTGGCAGCAAGGGTTTTTAAGGTCTCCAAGTGATTCCAATGAACAACTAAGGTTGAGCTGACAACCTGTCCCTAGGATAAACATGTCAACACAGGTCCTCACTGACTCTTCACAATCCTGTGAGATACCAGCCCTGCAGATGAGAAAGCTAGGGCTCAGAGAGGTTAAGTAACTTACCTATGACCACGCAGCTAGTAAGGGTATGAAACAGCATTTCCAACCAAGTTCATATGACTTCAAGTCCATGCACTTAATCACTAGCAAGTGGGAAAAAAGCTGTCATTGTGAGGAAGGGTGAAATTAAATGTGGATAAGGACCTGCTTAGCAACTTTAATTTCCCACTCTAGAGCCATTACATTCTTACTTACAGACACAGCCAAGGCCGAATCTCTAGGACTCTTGTTCTTGAAAGAAATCTTAAAAGTTTTCCCAGTGTATGCATCATCCTTGTACCCCAGATCTGGAAACTGGGCTCTTGTCTTATGCCTATGAACGGAGGCCCTGTGGTCTCCTCTAGCCCAGGAAGGATGAGCATAAACCATGGACAACAGAACTAGAGTCCTGGGTTCAAATCCTGTCTGCATTTGATATATTACTGTGACTTTGGGTAAGTCAGCTAACCTCTCTCTCAATTTCCACATCTATAAAATGTGAAAATTAAAACCTACATTGTTGGATTGTAGTAAGGAGTAAATGAGATCTATATAAAGAGATAGTATAACATCCAGCTCATAGCAGGTACTCAATAAAGTGTAGCTGTAGTATGATATTATAATTAATATAATGATTATTACTTGGTACCCTTGTTTCAATGGAGTAAGATTGTTGCTTTACCTTTCCAAGAATTGCTTGAATGCTGCTATTGAATCCAATTTTTTTTTTTTTTTTTGCCTCAACCATAAAGATGTACAGCTCAATCTCTGTGATGCCTGAGGCTTGCCCTCTAGGACTTCAACCTGGTACCCACAGTCAGACCCTACTTCTACCACTCTCTCTTACCATGCTTCTCCTGCCTGTGTCCTAGAGATACTGTAGATGTTCTTGATGCAAGGCCTATGTTCGTCCGGATCCCTGCAGAGCACCCACCTCAGGGCTGTTCCAGATCACCCATGTGACCCCAAAAAATATGCTCCCCTAGCTTCCAAGTCTCCAGTCCTCTCCTCTTTGGGCCAACTTGCTATATCCATGGCAATCCATGATATTACTTCTGCCAAGTAAAAGCATGATGTTAATGCATTGATTTGTGTATCAAAAATTCAACACCATTGGTTTTAAAGTTTGGGCTGAAGGATGAGACAAACCTTCCCAGTTTCCTCAGAGGGATTCCAGCCTAACCCAAAGCCACAAATGTGGTTGGGACGGAACTCTCATTTATTCCAATCGTTGCATAAACATAGATAAAGAGGCATAATTCTCTTGAGAGATTTTCAAGGTCCTCCTTAAAGTGTGTTTCCCTCACTATTGTGGTTCTAAACTATAGCCACAGCCTCAAGACCAAATTACAGCCTTTGGCGGCCGGTTTCAGTCTGGTGGTTACGGCAATGAATTTGGAGTCAAGAATCCTGGAGTCTCAGCCAACTATTCCCTGGGTAACCACAAGCAAGTTAGCTGCCCTTGTCTCAGTTTTTCTATCAGTCAAATGGGGTAATTTTTCCTTCCTTCCATTTACTTCAAAGGCGTAGGTTATGACAATTAATTACCTATTGGCCACGGTAAACTTGGAACTTTCTGTGCAGTAACAAAGCTATTGTCAACTTTTTCCTTCAAAGCATAATCCCCGAATCTTGGGATTATTTTAGCTTTTGGATATATGAATGTCACCGCTGGAGGTTCATTCAGGGATGTTTTTTCTCTAGGGTTACTGAGCCACATACTCAATTGCCTTAGTGCTGGCAGATGGAAGCAGAAGAATCTTCCAAAACATTAAACCAAAAAGCCTGGATTCAGCTGAAGAGAACCACATTGCTAAATCACATGGGTGGCTTTCTTTAGTCCCAACGGCCTGAGCTTCCCCACAATATACACACCTAATACCACTTGAAAAATATTGTAAAGAATATAGTTTGGTATTTACAGGTAAATATGACCTGGTTAAAATTTCCCATCTCCTCTTCCTGTTTGTGTAACACCAATATCGTTCTTTATCTGCCATGTCTCTATCACTTTTAGTTTTGAAGGGATCCTTTTTCACAATCCATATTTTAACACTGAAAAATTCTATTAGCTCCCTGTATACAACCAGTGACAGACCTGTGGAGGTGGAAACCCACCCACGAATACTACTTTTAGAGCAACTCTGAGAAAGAAACAACTTGAAAGTTGAATTCCTATAGGTGATAAAAGTGATAGGCATTGAGAAAAGAAATGAAATTGTAGAGTTATCAGATATTTTAATTTTTGTGCATACATAGTAGGTGTATATCATATTATTTTTAAGTGCTTAAATTACTATTTATATTGCTGGGTTTTCCTCTTTAGTATTGTTTTGTACGGCTGTCACTTCTGAATAAGAGTATAAATTTTGACAATTTAGTAAAATATTACTGTTGCCACATAATGTAGATTATGAACACACTCCTGTTTTTTAGAATGGTTAGCTGACAATTGAAATAGAACAAATACACCTCATCACAATTATTCTTCTCTGCTATAAAATAAATAAAAATTATAGTACTGGGAATTTTAGCCAATTACAGTCCTCAACTTTAAATAGTGTGTTTCATTATTAATGCTTAAATAGATATATTCTAAAAAGGACTCAATGAAATTAAGTATTGCATATACATTAGATATAACAGATTAATTCACTTTGATTCATGTGGTGTAGTGTAAAGATTATTCATCAATCAGCTACAGATTCAGCTTCCCAGGTTTGTCTTGGTTCTTCCACTAACTCTCTTTGTGACTTTGAATAAGTTCCTTCATATGTCAGGGCTCCAATTTCCTGATTGTAACTGGTTCATTTGTGTTCCTTTCCCCTCTACCAAAAAAAGACATGTTGAAATCTTAACCCCTAGTACTTCAGAATGTGACCTTACCTGGAAAGGGGTTCTTGCAGATATAATGAATAAGATGGTCCTACTGGAGTAGACGGGTCCATCAGACTAGTGTCCCTATAAGAAGATGGCCCCCTGAAGACAGAGACACACAGGGAGAATGCCATGGGACAACAAAGGCAGGGACTGAAGTTATACAGCTGCAAGCCAGGGAACATGCAAACCACCAGAAATTAGGAAGAGACAAGGAAGGATTCTTTCTCACAGGTTTCAGAGGGAGCATGGCCCTGCTGACACCTTAATTTCAGACTTCTAGGATTTCAGACTTCTAGCCTCCAGAAGCATGCAGCAATAAATTTCTGTTGCTTTGAGTCACCCAGTCTGTGGTACTTTGTTATGGCAGCCCTAGGAAACTAAAATGCTGATCTTTAAATTGAGAGTGCTGAACTCCGAAAGCCTCATCCAGAAATATATTTTTATTTTTCTAAGTCAGGAGTCAATTTTTCTGTAAGCTTTTCCTGTAAAGGGACAGATGATAGGCTTTGCAAGTTACGTAGTCTCTGTCATAAATACTCAATTCTGCTGATTAAAAGCTGCCATAGATAATATGTAAATCAATGAGTGTGGTTATGTTCCATCAAACTTTATTTATAGACACTGAAATTTGAATTTCATATAATTTTCCTGAATCAGAAAATGGTATAGAAAAAATTTCCCCACTACTTAACAATATACACGTGATTATTAGCTCTTAGGCCACACAAAAACAGGCAGGGGGCTAGATTTTGTCTGCAGATGCAACTTGTTGAACCTTGTTCCAGGCTGATAACATAAAGTTGGCCCACTTGGTCAAAAGCATGACAGAAAAGCAATATGCACTCTTTTATTTAGGATACATAAGATAAGTGGCCTGACTTGTGAATGAGAATTGTATTCATGGAGTGATATCTGTCTATAATAAAAATATTTTTATGAACCCACTTGAGAATCACATTTCAAAATGCATGATAGTGTAGTGGTTTTTTAAAACTCCATTTTATTACTTTATCTCTTTTCTTTAGTATTCAAAGATATTTTAATAGTAGCACAAATATTAATAATGAAAATGATCACTATTTGTTGACACAGGGCTTCATTTGGCACTGGGCTAAATGCTGTACAAAATTATCTCATTAATCCTACAATAATCCTGCAAGTTACATAGTCCTTTACCTCCTTTATAGATGAGGCTAAGTAACATGCCTGAGGCAACATGACTAGTACATAACTGAGCCAGGAGTAAATCAGGTGATTCTGACTTCAAGGTATATCATTGAAACCACTTTAAATACTATTGTTAATTTCTTGTTATGGTTGATTCTAAATTTCCAATGTTAATCAAGTAATAATAAAATCTACAATTTTATTACTAATAAATAACAAAATCTATAATTCATATTAACAGCAAATAATGGAAGAAAAACATACTTTATTCTAACTCATTAAATTAGATCAAATATAACATTTGATTTGTCTCAAATACTGGAGTTACATGAGCAAATGGCCCAGCCTTAATCTTAAGGCTTACTTAGCTTTGGGAAAAACATAAATTATGATGTAAAACTAGATACTGCTTTATAATATACTCTTTTTTAACCACCCAGTGACAGAGAAGGTAGAAAAAAAATCAAACTGACCTGTTGATAGCATATGTGATTAAGTTCTTTGTTCAGGTTTATTGACAGATGGCGGAAAATAGAAGAAAGGATATAGATGCCAGGGAGATGGAGGGTGGTGTAATCAAATACAAAACCATCTGGATCCTGTCCCTGTGTGACCTAGTGTTTGTGTTTAAGTTAAACTTTTTGTATCCTCATCTGACAGATCACAGACCAAATTTCTAAACTGAAGCATTCTTTTGGCAAACACAGAGGAGCAAAGCATTGTTTGAGGAAATTATATACTTCATTCATATAAAGATTAAGTCAGTGAAATTATTAAAATGGTAGAACAGGATTTGAGAGCTTAATCTGCAAGGATGCCATCATGCTTGATTTACAGAGAGCATGCAATGTGCCTGATATAAAAATGTCTGTAGAGTACAAACCTAGCAATCTGCTTTGTGTTACTTTCTAATAAATGTCAATGGGGAAACTGTGTTTATAGCTTGAAATATAGGGAGGGAGAGAAATCCAGTAGCTTGCCTCATGGAGATATATCCTCTTTGTTGATTCCACGAAAATGTCAAATCAGTACAACTGCTCCAAGGCTCTTGGTCTTCACTTCTGCACTGATTAAGCTGCATGCACGACATTTTGGGAATAATAAACTGCATTCATAATATGCTGACTCAGTGAGAATAGCAAGCCCCACAGATTTCAATGAACACAATGTCCACAGCTATTTTGTAGCTAGAAAAATTAAGACACCTTGAAAAAACAACCTGTTTCAAAACAAATTAGAATCAGAAATCAGCAATAAGACTTAAGTCTATCCCTTTTCTGGGACAGCTGCATTATGGGGTTTAATTTTGGTGACATTTTTTCAGTGATAGTTTAGTAGAAACAATTCTCACTTCCAAAGCTACAATAGATTTATGGAACTCTCACTACATCTTATTGAAAACCAGCTTTTACCCATTTAATTTGGTTTAACTGACATTTATGAAGAACTTTACTAGATCTAGAGGTAAAAATGCTGAGTAAAGACAATCCCCACCCATGAGGACTTTAGAATCTAATGAGGAGGAAAAACCCACAAAAGAAACTTCAGGGTAGATAATTTTACTTGAATGAGCCTAAAGAACAAGATAAAGATATTGAGCGTGATGGAAAACTGAAAGGGAGGCACAGAGCTCAACCTGGGAGTTCAAAAAAGTCTTCTGAAAGAGGATACTGCAAAAAAGGAATTCTTACAGTTAATGAACATATAACCGATTGAAGAGAAGGGAGGAAAAAGCATCCTACCCTGGAGAAACTAAATAAGCAAAGTTGAGAGGTATAAGACATTGCGGAGCATGCCTGGAGAGGATGCTCCTCAGAGAGCAGAATTACTCATGTAAAAACTCCAATTTATGGCTATTCCTAAATGGAAAAACTAGGTATCTGGACAATATTATTAAGGGCTTTAGATTCACAGTGTAAACAGTAATTGGGGAAACCTGTTGTTATTACATAATGCCCATATCGGGATAGGAAATCTGATCCTAGAAATCTCTCTTATAAAAATAGGTTTTAGAAAACCAAATATAGTACTCCCTGGCTGATGACATGGCCTGTGCCTGCTCTTAGGTCAGTGTCCTCATTGGGTGAAAGTCTGTGGTAACTCCGAGTAAGACAAACAGAAGCTCAATGGCCTCTCATGTATAATCACCTGAAAATTATTTACTGAACATCCTGCACACCCAGTGATTCTTCTCAGGACTTCTGTGTAGTACTTTGCACTTCTATCCCTTTTCTTTTACAAGGAAAGAGCGAACAGTGGTGGGCAGGAAACCAAGAGTTGTGCCTGTTCTGCCCCAAGGTCACTGCTGGCCACTGAGCTGTAGAAGGTTGCAGATAGCTACCCAAAAGTTTGATGGAAAGAGCCTCCATTATTACGATAAATGCAGGCCCACCTAAGTATTAGCTTTGAGGGAAGACATCGTAGGTAGGAGAAGGCAGTCGTCCAACACCTCCAGCTTCATCCCTGCTGAGTTTTTCCTCACTCTAGTTTTTTACACTTTGATTTTGAGTACCATCACTTCCTGGATGGTGTCTCTATGACTTGGGCACTGGAGAAGGGGTACCTTTTGTTCTCCAACTGCAATAGTCTGAAGTGTCCAAAAACACTTAGTATGAAAGAACAACAATAACACCACTGGAAGGACACTCTCTAGTTAAGCTAACAAAATAGTGGCTTCTCACCATCCCAAATCTGATTCTTAGGATAAACACTAACTCCAAAAGGAAATATAACCTCATTAGCATACTATATGCATACCTTTTCCCTGTCCTCTGTCCTGCCCCTGCAAGATGCAATAACACTTCCTCTTCTACAGGGTCAGGCACCTGGTCACCAGGGTCCTTCCTGGCCAACACAAAGAAAACATTTTTCAGCTGTATGAGAGTAGTATAGTGGCCAAAAACCACCTGAGTCAGACTGCCTGGGTATCACTTACCAGAGGTGTGACCTTAAGTAAATCACTTAGTCTGTTTTTCTCTGTTTTATCATCTGTAAAATGGGAATAATGATACTACTTAGAATTAAGTGAAAAAATGCATATATTTACCACACATAGTATATAAAATTAATTGTTTGTCTTTTAGGAGGCAGATAATTAATAAAATAATAAAACATGGAAGTCATTTCTTCTAATTTTTATTTTTATTTTTTATTTTTATTCATTCTTTTTGAGACAGAGTCTTGCTCTGTCACCCAGGCTGGGATGCAGTGGTGCAATCTCGGCTCACGGCAACCTCCACCTCCCGGGTTCAAGCAATTGTCCTGCCTCAGCCTCCCAAGTAGCTGGGATTACAGGCATGCACCACCATGCCTGGCTAATTTTTATATTTTTAGTAGAGACAGGTTTCACCATGTTGGCCAGGCTGGTCTCGAACTCCTGACCTCAGGTGATCCACCTGCCTTGCCCTCCCAAAGTGCTGGGATTACAGGCATGAGCCACTGTGCCTGACCTCCTTTTTATATGAAAGACATGACTTTCCACTGAACACTGGTGACTGAAACAATAAATAGGGTCACCCTTCAAGTAAGCCCCTGTTATGTAGCTACAGGAAGTATCATAATCTCTTACTACCCAACAATACTGCAGTATGCTAACCATAATCCTACCTTGCCCAGGCTGGACCTTCACCCAGGCTGCTCTCTTTGCCTGAAATGCTGTAGCACCACCCCACTCCCTCCTTACTGACTCCATGCACATATCCACATGACTAGTGCTCAATAATAGCTCTCCAATCCTGTGCATCCCAGCTCTTTACATTTAGGTGGGGCCATGAACACATACAGGTTGATGATCTGTTAACAGCAGAGGAAAGCACTGCACATTCTTCCCTTTTGGTGGAGAACATAGCAGCCATACGGGGTTTCACAGACCAATATCATCAGGAGTACAGTTGCCCTGGAAAACAGACTTTGTGTAAGCAAACTTTTAAGTATCAAGCCACTGTGATCTGTGGGCTGCTTGACCACAGCATAAGCCTGGCCCATCCTGAAAAATGTACACCCCTTATGCCCCAGTCCCATCCCCATCTCTACCTCCCCTCTCCCTGACTCCCGCCAGCCAAATTTTTAGATCATGAATTATATATTCCTCAGATAAGCCTAATGGTCATTCTTTCTAGGTAGGTCTCACTCTTGCTATTCTCTATTACAGAGTCCTGTTCTTTCTTTAAAATTATTTTCCTCATTATTTGTAATTACATATTTACACATTTGTCCACTTCTGTCTTCCTTGTCTCCACCACTAGACTGTTAAGATCCACCACAGATCTATAATTATGGTCATCTAGGCTTTACTTACCAACAAAATAGGTAAATCAACCAGGGCTTAGAATATTACTAGGGCTTATAGAGCAGTGTTTATACATATATTTTAATGAATGAACATCAGTCTGTCAAAAGAAGTATACAGGCTGGGTGCGGTGGCTCACACCTGTAATCCCAGTGCTTTAAGAGGCCTAGGCAAGAGGGGGATCACTTGAACCTAGGAGTTAGAGACCAGACTGGGCAACATAAGGAGACTCTTTCTCTAAAAAAACAAACAAACAAAAAAATTAGCTGAGCGTGGTGGTGCATGCCTGTGGTCCCAGAAGATACTTGGGAAGCTGATATGGGAGGATGGTTTGGGCTCGGGAGGTCAAGACAGCCGTGAGCCATGATTGAGCCACTGTATTCCAGCCTGGGCAACAGAGCAAGACCCTGTCTCAAAATAAAAAGTAATAAAAGTATACATACAATGCATACAATGGCAGGAAATTTGTGGTTTCATAATAGGAATGATGAATCAGGGGAAGGACAAATTCCACTGAACCCTGTGCTGGGCCAGAAATTTTGTGCACAGAGGAAACTCATGGGCATTGAAAAATCACATCTAAGAGAAAAATCAGCAGACTCTTGACCAAGAGCCAACAAACGGAATCCCTGTTATGCTCTCTTCTGTCCTGGAAAGCTGTGCACAAGCACGAGGGTCCTCCATGGAGGAAGAAGGAGCAGGGGTGGGTGACATGGAAGGCTTTGGATCTTTTAGGAGCATGGGGACACAGTACCTCAGCCCACCCAACAGGCAGCATCGTTGATTGTCAGGACCACTTCTCTGTTATTCATGGACATGGCCATCATCCTGAACCCCACCCCACCCCCCAAAAATAAATAAAAAGCAAAAAAGGAAAAGGTGGAAAATATAGTTGCATTTCTATCTTGGAGAGAAGAGATGATAAAATTTGAGGTCTTTTCTCCTTTCTCTGGAGAAAACTGTCTTCTGCACACAGTATGGGGCAAACTACAGAGAATCAAGAGGAATAATGAATTCATAGAATTGCATCTTGAGTATTTCACTATGAACTGTCACTTGATATTCCTTCCTTTACAGGCCATCAGTTTCGCCGTCACTTCTATGTATAGAGAAAAGGACATGCACTAAAACATTGGGTCAGGAAACTGGTCACTTAAATGCCGTTAGTTCTAACACTTAATGTCCCTATCTTTGGAGCAGTTTTGTATGGCAGCTACAACTAGATACCTTTAGGTGATATTAACAGCTAAGTATATAACAGACATTTACCATTTTATAGTTATCCAGCACCCAGTTCTCTCCACACATACACAGCTTCCTAATAACTCCCCAGTCTCTCCTTGGGGATAACTCAAATGGCGTGTGGTCTTAGTGGGAGGACACTAAGTGCCAGCTCTCACTGTCATTTCCTACTTCAGAAGCTGAGGAGCCTGCTCCTTCCTCCACCAGCTCCCTGTTATAGCCAGGGGGCCAGGCAATCAAATATCACTCTTGGGACTGTAAATCCTAAGTGAGTGATGCAAAGGAAGAGGACATGGACAGATGCCAAATCCTTTGCAGCAGCACCTGGGGTCCAGCTACTGAGTTAAAGCCTCAATAGACTTTAAGGTCCTGATGCCAGAGATGTCCTAGCTTCAGTTACTTTCTCAAGTTCCTCTTAATCTGTGAACTCCAATATTCTGCCAGTAACTTCTCATTTGGCATAACATATTTAGGGTTGGATTCTGTTGCAGGCAACCAAGAACTCACACCAGGGCTGTTATATACAGCTATGTAGGTTGTACTCTGTACAAGAGAATCCAGCAAAAGAAACCAGAGGCTGAAATCTAGCCTGAGCTCCATTTGCCAAATTCATGAGGCTAAATTATCCTGCAGTAAGGGGTGAAATTTTCCTGTTTACATAGAGGCATTGTTTAGGCTGGCAGTGGCCCTGCCCTTGACCCATACATCCCCATTTTCCAGTTGTGAAATAAAGACCTGGAGATTAAGTCATTGACAGTTTTATGATTACAGTAATGCAATGACATTGCACTGGGCTCTTCTGCTGCCTTTCTCTCTACCTATATATAGGTTGAATGATTGAACAACCTCTTTATTCCTGCCAGGAAAATGTGAAAGAAGGAATGTTCCTGCAACAATTCATCCTCCTATGATAAGGCTGACCACAGTCTGTTACCTATTATTTACCCACAATTATTAAAAGGGTTGAAATTTAAATGTAAAATATATGTATAAATATTTAATACTCCATGCTATGCTACAGTTTTTAATAGTTAACCCTTTACATTCATTAACAATGAAAGAAAAACAAGTAAAGGACTCAAGAACTTTCCATTAATTTCCTACAAGCTACATTTCTGCCAATTTTATTGAGAGATATCACGGAACGGTAAAGATGACAAATTTTGCTGTACAATGCTCTATTCCAACCTCTTCAATTTTCCCATGACTGTTTTACATTTCCCATATCTTTTTCTCTCATTTTACATCACAAATTTATACAGAGGATCTATGGGCTAGTATATACCATGCCTAGCATGTGAACAGCATTATTGTTAAGAAGGAAATTAGAGAGTCACCACACCTTCCATTAGGAATCTAACAGTTATGCTTCTTTTCCTTTACAGAGTTTCCTTTTACCATATTAAGTCCTCCAGTCTTCCTTTCATGTTACTTTAAGACACTGATCAAAATCTTTTGTTCCTACTTCCATTCCCCATAAAAGAAAATTAGATTTGTTTTCAGGCTTTAATCCTGCTAAGATAAAGCAAATCAGCCCTGTTTTTATTACTGTCCAGTCAGTTCCATCAATCACCGAAGGGAATCACTAAAAGCAATCAGCGAACAAGGTCAACAGCACTCAGCAGAGGGCCAGCACAATGGTACTTTAGCAGATCAAAATGAAGACTGGGAAAAGGATGACAGTGCTTCACAGCCCTAAGAGGCCCAGGACAGCTTCTCAGGAGTCGTCTCTAAATGGGGAGAAGATAATCGAGAGAAGGGAATTATCTTTATTGTGTAACAGGTCTCCCGACATCAAGCTTGTTAAGGTAACAAAGAGCTAAAAGGTTCAGTTGGTGGTTATCGTCATCTTTTCTTGGTACAGTGACTTAGGTTTTGGACTTTGAGACAAAGGCCTTAATTTCACAGATCTTGTTCTTCTCTAGCAGTTTGTGTTGTCACATATGATAAATAATTACAGAATCTCTCACAAAGAGATATAGATATCATTTAGGGTTAATTGGTTGCAAGCAACACAAGACAACTTTGATTAACTTAAGCAGAAAGGGGATTTATTGAAAGGAAGTGAGAGAGTTATTAGAATCCATCATGAGATTGAAGAGCTGTGCCTGGAGATAGGATCAAAGGTGCTCTGATGGGGAGAGGGTCTCAGAGCAGGAACTATTCAGTGGTCTGGGCTGAATGGACAGTTTTCCTCATCATTATTATCTCTTTTTAAGATAGAAAGTCCTCAATTGGCTTCACCAAGACGGCAGAAAAATGAAAGAGGGTGGGGAAGGGGAGTAGGGAAAGGAGATGATGGTATTAATTACCCATAAAAAATCTAGATGTTATTAGCAACCTAAATGACAATGTTTTCCCAGTAGCCAAGATAAAACCAATGTCCACTATGGTATTTAAAAAGAAGTTTTCACCCTAAAGTCCAGGAGCAATCTACTTAACTTGCATTAACAATCATCACATAAAGCACACATACGTTTTTCATATGTGAACTAACAGACTACTTTCAGTGAATACAATGCCTGACGCTTGGTAGCTGCTCAATAAATATTTGTTGAATGAATAAATTTCTTTTGCAATGTTATTTGTTCTCATCCTTTCTTTATGCCATTTATGTTTCCTAATATCTAGCAAATATTCCATATTCAAAATTGGTGAAATAGAACCTCTAAAAGAGAAATCTCAGTGCAGTGAGAAGAGTACCCAATTTGATTCATTTCTTGATTCTGCCCAATGTGACCTTGGGGACGGGTCACAATGGCTTTGAGGTTATTTCTTCATCTGTAAAATGAAGTGGTAGAGGTAGATGCTTTTTAAGCATCCATCCAATTCTATAAGTCTAACATCATGGTCACAAATATATAGATGACAGAGACTCAGAAAACTTAGGAAAAATGTTTATAATTTTCACAGTATGAAGTGGTTGTACCCTGAATCTGGACAGAAAGTAAAACCTAACTTACTTGGTAGTATTTAGGAGAAATTGCCAGTAATGTAGAACATCTAGATCACTGTTATCAAACTTTAAAAGAAAGGCAGCAGAATCAAGTTTTCAAATGAAATCGTATGCTGAATTCCAATGTCTAAAACAAATAAAAGTCAAACTATTCTGACTGAAACAAAAGAGGGTTGCCTAGAGCCTCATACTCACACCCTTTCCCACAATTTCCTGGGAACACCATTTGACATCACTCATTTAATTCCTGATTGACTATTCCTAAATTTTTCTGTACCTTGAAATAGTTTTAAAATGAGATATCAAGTTTAATTTGGATAAGAAAAATTAAGAAAAAAGCTTTACATGGAAAAATAAAAGTATATATGCTCTCTTTCAGAGTCAGTTGACTTAAAGACAATTTTATTAGTCTACAACAATAAATTTTAATTTGTAAAGCAAAATAAAATCTAGCAGCACTGTTTGATACAATAGTCTTGGTCTAGTCCCTACATTATGAACTAGTATTATATAGACTTGTATCAAATGGTGAAAACTTAGCTTCCAAAACGAGACTTATTTAACAAGTTAAATATAAAATATGAAGAAACTTCTTCAATATATAAATCAATAGCTTTAATTTTTTTAACTGTCTTACTTAAGAGGAATGATGTATATGTCCCTGAAACCAAAGTAATTTTGCATATGCCTTTTTTAATCACCAAAGAAGTAATTGTTGAAAGATAGTAAAAGACATAAACACACATTGTCATCTCTGTGGCTCATTGTAGTGGCCTTATTAGCTTTAGCAAAAAGAAGCAATTGTTCTTCTCATAAAATCAGTATCCTGTCCATTCCACTACTTTGAAATATCATCATCAAAATCATTAAGACACATCCTATTAACTTGGACCATGGATTTCTATACATAAAATACCAACCGGGAGTCTTTGTTTTTGAGTACGAGTTTTGAAAAATTAAAACATCTTTGTTAAATCTTTATTTATGAACCCTAACATAGACAAAAGCACATCATTTATACCTTAAATAAGGGATTAATCTTGGTGATCGATTTGTTGAAGTTATTGAGCTTTAATGATGCCATTATTTTTAATCAAAGCAAAAAGCTATGAAGATTTTTCTGAAAGACATTTCACCATAGGCAGCAATAAAAAAGTATATTTCTTAGTCATTAGTGATCTGATTGACCTCTTTTGCCAGGACATAAGGTTTAAATTGTCTAGATACAACCAATTAGATATGAAATGGCTTATTACACAGATTTGTGACTCACAATCAAGAAGAAAGGCAAAGCCCATCTCCCATTGTTATAAAAGGTCTCTACTGTTTCCTAATCTATGCTGATTCTGCCAATCATTCTTCTGATCTCTTGATTCAATGGTTTTAAGATTCACTTTATAGCAAATATTTAAGACACACCAAGTGATGTAGCAGATGTGCTTGGTGCCCTGCCCTTATTTCTTCATCATTTACCACTTCCACGCAGGAAAGCTCCACTTTCAGCTGCCAGCGACTGTAATTCTGTCTGAATACTTTCTGTGGTAGCCAGAGCCTACTCTGCCCACACATGGGTCATACCAGAAGATACTGGGGGATTTTCCTGAGTAACTCTCAACCAATGACTGACGAGTTGATAAATACTCTGACTCCCCTCCCCTAGGACAGGATAACTCTAAGATATGTTGTATATAGCCTCCTAGAGTTCCCAGGTGGAACTGAAGTCGAATTCCCTATGGTGTAACTTGCTAGATATACACTCTTTTTTAGCTTCTCTCTCTTTCCTGACTCACTTCCCCACTCCCCTAGTACTTCTGTAATAAAATACTCACATTTGAATCCTTATCTCTATTCTAAGTTGCTTCTGAGACAACCCACAGTAAGACAAGGGGATATAAACATGAATACAATGGGAGTTCTACTTTTAAGGAATACAGTCTATAACAGAAAACCATTAATAAACACAACCAACAACAAAAAGAGTAACTAAGAGGAGAAATACACAATGTTACATTGTAAACAGGGGTGTGCCGGCCCAGGCAAAGATGATAATCTAGAGTTTTAAATGTGTTGTGCACTACTGGAATGTTAGCTAATGGTTCTTCCTGTAACTCTAAATATTATCCTCATCAGTGAAAAGTGGCAAGACTTTCTCTAATAGTCACCTAGTCTAAGAAAGTCGTCTTACAAGGGTAACAAAGAGGGTAGGAGTATAAGCTTTCTTCAATTTCATGACAGCTAAAGAGGAATCAGAATAACATTATAGCGATTCTACCTGACCAGTGAATTAAAACTACGGTTAATATAAAATGGAATTTATCCTTGTATCAACCTTTTTGACAACCCATCAACCCTCAAGGCAAATATGTGGAGAGCAAAATGAAATCAATATTCTGGCCATTGTTTGTCATTAGTTTCTGACACACAAGGAGTTGGCTATTGCAATGCAACAGCAGTGAACAAAAAATCAGGCAGTATTGGAGAGCAATTTTTAGGAGGTCGTGTTGTAGAATAATCAAGTAGATACCTTAGCTTAAATGATCAGGGAAGGCCTGACTTAAGAGGATGAGGAGGGCAAGCATCCCAGGGAACAACTGGTGCAAAATCACCTAGCCTTTCCATGTTCAAGCAACTGCATGTAGTTTAATCACTTTTTGCTTGGGTGATATATCTTTGATTTACTCTTCAGAAGTGATCAAAATATGACAATACTGAAAATCAAGTGGTGTGTGTCAATAAGATTGGCAGGAGCCAGACTACATTGGGCTTTACAAGTAGTTTAGATTTTATGCTGCTTTTAAGAAGCACTGACAGCATTTGAGGAAAATGGTGACATGATCTAAATTTCAACAATGCGGTGTTTTTTCTAGAATAGATTATAGGGCAGAAAGAGTAGAAGTAGGGAGACTGGCTAGGTAATAATTGCAGTAAATCCTAATAAGCAACAGTGATAGTACTAATAATAGTAGTGGGAGTAGATAGATTCTTAATTTATCAGTTAAGCTGTTTCTGGGTACAAGTAACAAAACACCCAACCTAAGATTTCTTAAATAAGGACGTTTGGTTTTAGGTCTTACGTTTAAGTCTTTAATCCATCTTGAGTTAATTTTTGTGTAAGGTGTAAGGAAGGGATCCAGTTTCAGCTTTCTATGTATGGCTAGCCAGTTTTCCCAACACCATTTATTAAATAAGGAATCCTTTCCCCATTGCTTGTTTTTGTCAGGCTTGTCAAAGATCAGATGGTTGTAGATGTGTGGTGTTATTTCTGAGGCCTCTGTTCTGTTCCATTGGTTTACATATCTGTTTTGGTACCAGTACCATGCTGTTTTGGTTACTGTAGCCTTGTAGTATAGTTTGAAGCCAGGTAGTGTGATGCCTCCAGCTTTGTTCTTTTTGCTTAGGATTGTCTTGGCTATGCAGGCTCTTTTTTGGTTTCATATGAAATTTAAAGTAGGTTTTTCCAATTCTATGAAGAAAGTCAATGGTAGTTTGATGGGAACAGCATTGAATCTGTAAATTACTTTGGGCAGTATGGCCATTTTCACGATATTGATTCTTCCAATCTATGAGGATGGAATGTTTTTCCATTTGTTTGTGTCCTCTCTTATTTCCTTGAGCAGTGGTTTGTAGTTCTCCTTGAAGAGGTCCTTCACACCCCTTGTAAATTGTAGTCCTAGGTATTTTATTCTCTTTGTAGCAATTGTGAATGGGTGTTCACTCATGATTTCGCTCTCTTTTTGTCTGTTCTTGGTGTATAGGAATGCTTGTGATTTTTGCACATTGATTATGTATCCTGATACTTTGCTTAAGTTGCTTATCAGCTTAAGGAGATTTTGGGTTGAGACAATGGGGTTTTCTAAATATACAACCATGTCATCTACAAACAGAGACAATTTGACTTCCTCTCTTCCTATGTGAATACCCTTTATTTCTTTCTCTTGCCTGATTGCCCTGGCCAGAACTTCCAATACTACGTTGAATAGGAGTGGTGAGAGAGGTCATCCTTGTCTTGTACCGGTTTTCAAAGGGGATGCTTCCAGTTTTTGCCCATTCAGTATGACATTGGCTGTGGGTTTGTCATAAATAGCTCTTACTATTTTGAGACGTAAAACCATAAAAACCCTAAAAGAAAACCTAGGCGATAACATTCAGGACACAGGCATGAACAAAGGCTTCATGACTAAAACACCAAAGAAATGGCAACAAAAGCCAGAACTGACAAATGGGATCTAATCAAACCAAAGAGCTTCTGCACAGCAAAAGAAACTATCATCAGAGTGAACAGGTAACCTACAGAATGGGAGAAAATGTTTGCAATCTGTCCATCTGACAAAGGATACATTGTATCCTTTGTCTATCTTTGGATAGATAAAATATCCAGACTCTACAAAGAACTTAAACAAATTTACAAGAAAAAAACAAACAGCCCCATCAAGAAGTGGGCAAAGGATATGAACAAATACTTCTCAAAAGAAGACATTTATGCAGCCAACAAACATATGAAAAAGTGCTCTTTATCACTGGTCATTAGAGAAATGCAAATCAAAACCACAATGAGATACCACCTCATGCCAGTTAGAATGGCGATCATTAAAAAGTCAGGAAACAACAGATGCTGGAGAGGATGTAGAAATAGGAACGCTTTTACACTGTTGGTGGGAATGTAAATTAGTTCAAACATTGTGGAAGACAGTGTGGCGATTCCTCAAGGATATAGAACTAGAAATACTTGAAACAAGGATATAGAACTAGAAATACTAGAAAAGTGGGTGAATGATATGAACAGACACTTCTCAGAAGAAGACATTTATACAGCCAACAAACATATTTAAAAAAAGCTCATCATCACTAGTCATTAGAGAAATGTAAATCAAAACCACAGTGAGATACCATCTCATGCCAGTTTGAATGATGATCACTAAAAAGTCAGGAAACAACAGATGCCAGAGAGGATGTGGAGAAATAGGAACACTTTTACACTGTTGGTGGGACTGTAAATTAGTTCAACCATTGTGGAAGTCAGTGTGGCGATTCCTCAAGGATCTAGAACCAGAAATACCATTTGGCCCAGCAATCCCATTACTGGGTATATACCCAAAGGATTATAAATCATTCTATAAAGCCACATGCACACGTATGTTTATTGCAGCACTGTTCACAACAGCAAAGACTTGGAACCAACCCAAATGGCCATCAATGATAGACTGGATAAAGAAAATGTGGCACATATACACCATGGAATACTATGCAGCCATAAAAAGGATGAGTTTATGTCCTCTGCAGGGACATGGAGGAAGCTGGAAACCATCATTCTCAGCAAACTAACACAAGAACAGAAAACCAAACACCGCATGTTTTCACTCATAAGTGGAAGTTGAACAGTGAGAATACATGGACACAGGGAGGAGATCACACACTGGAGTCTGTCAGGGGGTGGCGGACTAGGGGAGGGATAGCATTAGGAGAAATACCTAATGTAGATGATGGGTTGATGGGTCAGCAAACCACAATGGCACATGTATACCTATGTAACAAACTTGCACATTCTGCACATGTAACTCAGAACTTAAAGTATAATTAAAAAAAATTAAAAATAAGGACGTTTGTAGGCTTGTTTTACAGGAGGCCTTGTCCTAGAGCAAGTTCAATGACATCATCAAAGAATCCTCTTCCAGACTTTCTAATCTTCACCCTCAAACTGCAATAGTTGTTATATGACTGTCACTAGCAATTGAGACTACATGCTCCCTTATTTATATTTGGAGGGAAAGGCTGGCTTTGTGTGCTATTTTATGAAGCAGGATTTTTCTCTGCCAGATGCTTCTAGCCCCACTTTTGATTCATTGCCCCAAATTTATTTAAAGCTGTCCATCCTTGTATCCAATCACTTGTACGGGGCACGGGATTACTAAGATTGGCTTAAGATGAAACACACCCCACCCTGAGCTGGGAATGGTGTTGGCTTGCCTTGTGAAAGAAGGCTTGGCCCATGTGAAAGAAAGATGGATATCTAACCGTTTGGGGGGCGGGGGAGGCAGGGGAGATGAGGATTCATTAGGAAAGGGGAAGGGAAGAATGGAAAAGGCAAGCACTGTACTAACTACATGAAATATGCATTTGAGGCAGAGTTGATAGGGCTCACCAATGGATTGGATATTGGGAGAACAGAAGATTCAATAAGTTTCTATATTTTTGGCTTAAACAATTGGGTTGAATGTGGGTCTATTTACTGAGGTGGGGAAGACTGGAGGAAAGATCAGGTTTGAGAAGGATAATGAAGGGTTCTCTTCTCATCAAGTTAATTTTAACTCAGACATGGAGAGGTAATCAAGTTGTTAGTTGAATATATGAGATTAGAGTTTCAGGGAGAGGTCAAAACAGGAGATTTGGAATCATACATGTGGAATTGGTTTAAAAGCAACTGACACTGGTGAGATTACTAAAGAGAACATATGGATACAGCAAGAAGTAAACTCAGGACACTTAAAGGCAGAGTGCAATAGGAGCCATTAAGGTAGCTGGAAAATCCAAGGCCAGTCCCCCAGCATCATGTGTATGGGTGGAATGAGGGTGGTGCTAATTGTCAGCTCTCTGCCAAGTGGGTGGGATGTGTTACCTCTCTCAAAATGGGAAGTGTGGAACAGGAAGGATATAAATGTTTAAAAATATACAGTGCAGACGACAACATGCTGTAGAAAGCATTATTAATATAACATTCAATCTTTCAAAAGGGACTTGGCTCATTATGATAGTCCTCTAAACTTTTAGTGGGAATAGGATGGACATGCCATCCCCTACAGCAATTCTATGCCAAGGCCTAATGAAAAATGCTGACCATTATTACATCTACAATTTCATTTCAAACAGAACTGAATTTTGGAAAATAATTATGAAAAATTATAGGGGAAAAAAGGGAGTCATTGCTAACAGAAACATTTATGTCTGTATCAATAAAAACTTCTACCATGGAGTAAATTTGCAGCAAACTTCATTTTTTCTGTGTAGCTACTCAACTAAAATTTAAGGAGCATTTATGTAAGACTATATTAAGTGCTGTTGAAAGAGAAACCCTAAGTTGTGCAGAATAGTCCCTTCCATTGAAGACGTTTTTTGTTTCGTTTTGTTTGGAACCACTTCCTGAGTGACTATGGGCAAATTATTCAGCATCTTGGTGCTTTTCTTCATATATGAAATGTACATGATAACATTACCTATCTCAGGGTTGTTGTGAAGATTAACACATATAAATAGCTGAGAACAACGTCTGGTACATAGTAAGCATCAGTTATTAAGGGGAGGTAAGGCAACTCCCATATAAGTGGTAGCATGGCTCAGTAAAAAAAAAAAAAAAAAAATTGATTGATTACCACCACTATATTATCACATGCTAATCTTCAGCTCAGCCCTGCAGGGATTCTTTCCATTTTATAGAACAGGAAAACTGTTAATAGGCTGTTCTGAAACTTAACACACAACTAATAAGTGGTCTAATTATGAGTCAAACCTTGAAGTAACATCAGAACTCATGCACTTTCCAAAATATCTGCAAGAAACCCAAGAGTCCGGAAACCTAGATTCTAGCTCTGTATATGCCACCTATTAGCTGTTGCAATCCTGGGCCCTTTTACTTCCTAACTTACTCTGAGACTGTTTTCTATTTGACAAAATTGTTTACAATAAACAGGCCTCTCCTCCCTGCTTCACAGGGTGGGTCACTGTGAAGGTCAAATGAGAGAAATCTACAAATTGTAAAATTTCAAATAATAATTTTTTTCATCTGCCTGACTAATCTCCTTTCCTACTTCAGATGTGTTTTTATCATCCTGATGTCAAATACCAATTTTCGGGTACCCAATCCTTAACAACTACTACCTAAATTTTGATATTTAATTAAGGACAAAACACTGGATAACTACAAATAACCCATTAAAGCCTCTGCTCAACTCCTATGAGGTTTCAAAATTATACCTCAATAATTTAAAATCATCACATTAAGTGGCCATCATTCAGGCCATCACTTAATACTGTCAGTAATCTGACACTGTTAGGGTGACCACATCCTGTAACCACAGACCAAAATATTGAGAAAATGCACATCAAAATACTTCTTAGCATGTTACAACATCAACATAGCTGCCTGTGCTTCATTATATTTATAAAAATATCACTTACCTTATACAAAAATTAATTCAAGATGGATTAAAGACTTAAATATTAGACCTAAAACCATAAAAACCCTAGAAGAAAACCTAGGCATTAACATTCAGGACATAGGCATGGGCAAGGACTTCATGTCTAAAACACCAAAAGCAATGGCAACAAAAGCCAAAATTGACAAATGGGATCTAATTAAACTAAAGAGCTTCTGCACAGCAAAACAAACTACCATCACAGTGAACAGGCAACCTACAGAATGGGAGAAAATTTTTGCAACCTACTCATCTGACAAAGGGCTAATATCCAGAATCTACAATGAACTCAAACAAATTTACAAGAAAAAAACAAACCCCATCAAAAAGTGGGTGAAGGATATGAACAGACACTTCTCAAAAGAAGACATTTATGCAGCCAAAAGACACACGAAAAAATGCTCATCATCACTAGCCATCAGAAAAACGCAAATCAAAACCACAATGAGATACCATCTCACACCAGTTAGAATGGCAATCATTAAAAAGTCAGGAAACAACAGGTGCTGGAGAGGATGTGGAGAAACAGGAACACTTTTACACTGTTGGTGGGACGGTAAACTAGTTCAACCATTGTGGAAGTCAGTGTGGCGATTCCTCAGGGATCTAGAACTAGAAATACCATTTGACCCAGCCATCCCATTACTGGGTATAGACCCAAAGGACTATAAATTATGCTGCTATAAAGACACATGCACACGTATGTTTATTGCAGCACTATTCACAATAGCAAAGACTTGGAACCAACCCAAATGTCCAGCGATAGACTGGATTAAGAAAACGTGGCACATATACACCATGGAATACTATGCAGCCATAAAAAATGATGAGTTCATGTCCTTTGTAGGGACATGGATGAAATTGGAAATCATCATTCTCAGTAAACTATCGCAAGGACAAAAAACCAAACACCGCATGTTCTCACTCATAGATGGGAATTGAACAATGAGAACACATGGACACAGGAAGGGGAACATCACACTCTGGGGACTGTTGTGGGGTGGGGAGAGGGGGGAGGGATAGCATTAAGAGATATACCTAATGCTAAATGACGAGTTAATGGGTGCAGCACACCAGCATGGCACATGTATACATATGTAACTAACCTGCACATTGTGCACATGTACCCTAAAACTTAAAGTATAATAATAATTTAAAAAAAAAGAAAAAAAGTATCACTTATCCATTCAAAACTTTTATACTTTCCAAAGTTCTTTGGTGTTCCTTATTCCATTTGATCATCTAGCAGTTCCGTTAGGCAGGCAAGGTAGGTTTATGCTTGTCTTAAAAACAGAAACATATTTATGCTCAAAATCATTTTGAAGTATAACTTGTATTTCAGGCCACCAACCCCTATTTTGGTATCTGCACTGCATTGTTACATAAATTTTACATTTGAAATTACTCAACACTACAGATTGATTGTAGTTCTTAGTAACAACATTTACATTTGAAAATATTCCTAAAAAATACCCCGTACATTTAAGTCATCACAAAGAATCCTTTACAAACCAAATTAAATCTCCCATTCACAAAAGTGATGTGGCAACAGCTATCACTCTGTGAAAACTCAGTTGTACTAAATGAGCCTGCTATGTAGTACCTGAAAATATGCACTTGTTGATAAAGTATCTTGAGCCCACTTCCTCAATTTTAATAGAAGACACCATTCTTACTGTGATTAAACTACTTTGGACTTTAAGTACCAATAATACGCTAACAACCATTAATAATATTATTAATGGCTCAGGAACTAAGTAAATTACAGCAATTTAAAATGATTAATATTTTTAAAACACAGGTTTTGAAAGGTCACCTTATAAATGTCAGCAAATGTTGCCTAAGCTATCAAAATACAGAAGAGATTAAGGTTCAATGTGATGTAAAAGAAATTCCTTATAAAATAGAAGTAACAATTAATTGATGTGGTTTAAGAAAAGTACTGAATTGGGAATCAGGTGAAATCTACTCCAGATCATTTAACCTGAGCCTCACTCAGTTAACATTAAAAAAAAAAAAGAAAATTTCATAATATGAAATTTTACTATCTATATATAATAAGGTTTTGGAAAATCATGACAAGAAAATTGATTAGAAGCAAAAGATTAAGACTTCTGAACCAAACCAAGATTATATCAAAACATTTATTTTTTGTGTTACAAAAACACAAATAAATCCAAGCAGATAATGAAATAAACACATTTTTTTAGTGTCCCATCCTGGGTTCTCTGCCCTAGAATGTATTAAGCAGGTCAAGTTTAGGTTACTTCAACACTTCTTCTGGATGCTATGAAGTCTCCATCTTATAACCATGTTTCTCTAGTTCAGCTCTAAGATAAAACAGAAAGAACATCACTAGGTATTCTTTATAATAAACATTCTTTTAGAAACAATACAATAAATAAACAAATAAATGAGCTATGCCTGAGACATCAATTTACAATACCACTGAATAGTTTTACTTTTGTCTCTGAAAAAAAAACATAAGAAAATTGGATATGAGTCAATATAATACTATAAAATTTTGTTTTTCCCATTATTTAACTTGTATTTTATCTTCCTTAATTTTCTTATAAGTCTATTTGTGGAAGAAATGTGAGGGACTTACTGCTATCCTTCAAATACTTTCCAAATGCTATATGAATGTTCTGTTCCTAATAAATATTTAAACATAAGTTTTGAGACTCATTAACCTCAGGCAAAGTACACATCACTATCAAACCTTTAGGGATTTTACAATGATCATAACAGGTATTACTATATTACTGTTGTATATGCAGAAAGAATAAACAGATTGCTTTCCATATTGACATATATGTATTGCTCTAACCTTATTTGCCACAATTCAAAGTTTATGACAAAATTAGTAGATGGCTAATCCATGATAAAACACTGAGTAAACTTAAAGTATGATTAATATGCTTTACATCATTACATCCAATAAGATAGACATTTGTTCTCAAGTAAATTTGGCTTAGACACCACTACACTATTCCAATGCAAACACATGACCGGAATAATGTATAGTATTTAGCATTCATTTCTCAAAACTCCTTTGCTTTCCTAAAATTTTTAGTTATTTAGAATACAAATAGTGAGCTAATTTCCATAAATTATATCAAGGCCACAGATTGTTCAAATGAATCATCCTTGTCTTCTGCTATGGGGTGGTGGTATAAACCCTGGATTAGGAGTCAAGACTCCAGTGCAAGACTCTGACTCTGGCCCTTCCTTTGCTAACTAATTTGCTTCCTTTGGGCCCTTCCCCTGCCCCTCAGGAAACTGGAGATTATAGTATCTGCCCTTCATTTATAACAACTTATCTCCATTGTTTTGAGAGCTAAATGAGAGAAAGTTATACAAATGTAATGTAGTATACATTAAAATAAGAGTCAAGGCTGAAAGGAAAAGCTAAAAGATTCTGATGATCACAGAAAACTCAAATGTTTCATACAAAAACTCTTGCTGCCAATCTTGAGGGAATGTGGTAACTGTCTTTGAATTTTATCTCATGTTAAAATTTTATAATTTATTTAAAATAAAAGTAATTTTACAACTTTCTTAAACCTTAGTTTTCTACTCTGTAGAATATTCACTTTAACAGCAGCAACAAAAACAATGAACAAAAAAACCCCAAAGTTCAACCTACAATTTAAGTAACAAGTATACCAAATCTGTCCTTCAGGTTTGTGTCTATTGGCTTTCCTAATGGGAGGTGGCTGGTCACTAACTGCATGTATAAATTGTTTACAATCACAAACAAGATGATGAAATGCTCTTCTATCAGCTAAATTCTTAGAAAAGATGAAAAATTCTTTGCTAGAATTTAAAAAACCAAAAGAAAAAAATTGAGGCCACCAAGTACAAAACAAAAACACTAATAATCATGAGGCTGCTGAGTGGAAAAATCAACAAAGACAAAAATAGAAAACCTCAGCACAACTGTTAATATCATACGACATACACAGTGAACATACACTATCTGAAACGAAAACAGCAGCAGTCTTTGTGCAACAAAACAAGAAAAAAGACTAATGGCCACTAGTAGGTTTGAAAAGTCCTCTTACTATCCAAGAAACTACTCAGCTTTATGACAATGGCTATATCTGATTTGGTAAATCAGGAACTATACTGGATTTTTTTGTTGTTGTTGAGATGGAGTCTCGCTCTGTTGCCCAGGCTGGAGTGCAGTGGTGCCATCTCGGCTCACTGCAAGCTCCACCTCCCAGGTTTATGCCATTGTCCTGCCTCAGCCTCCCTAGTAGCTGGGACTACAGGCGCCCGCCACCAGGCCCAGCTAATTTTTTTGTATTTTTAGTAGAGACGGGGTTTCAACATGTTAGCCAGGATGGTCTCGATCTCCTGACCTCGTGATCCACCGGCCTCGGCCTCCCAAAGTGCTGGGGTTACAGGTGTGAGCCACTGCGCCTGGCCTATACTGGCTTCTTAGAGTTTTTATGTAAGACGTGAAATAGGGTTGAGAAAAATCATACTACTACCTATTTCTCTTAATACATAAACAAATGATATCAGAAGCTGCAAAATCAGAATGACTTTGAGTTACCTGGAAGAACAAAGTGGCCTTATTCTTTCTACTTCTGTTAAAGGTAATTACACGGAAAGAGAAAGACGAATGTGGAAAGTGGGGGGCCTGCGACATGGACAGTTTTTATTTAACACACACACACCACAGTCTAAGCACTCTACACATGTTAAATCACTTAAACGTTATAATAACTCTAGCAGTAAAGCACTAATTATCATCTGAGTTTTATGTGTGACAAAAGTAGGTCACAGAAAGGCTAAGTGAGTTGCCCAAGGTTCATATGGCTAAATAGGAGGCAGATCTGGGGTTGGAACCCCAGCAATCTGATTCACACTAGAGTCTGAGATGCCTCTCCACTGTTAAATAGGATTAGGACCAAATAACATCAGACAACAGTAAACTCCATTCTTTACCATGACTTATGATATTATGTTAAGGGTTTCCATGTACTTTACAGAAAAGACTAGGAAGAATAACTTTGTGTGAGTCTTTTAATCAAGACAAATTTTTTAAAGCAAGGATTGTGCGAGGCTGTTTTATTCAATATGGTAGTCATATGTGGCTATTTTAATTGAATAAAACAAAAAATTCAGTCCCTTAGCTGTGCTAGCCACATTTCATGTGCTTAGTAGCCAAATGTAACTGATTGCTTCTATACAGCAGCTTCTCAAACATTTCCATCACTACAGCAAGTTCTATTTGACACCACTGGCAATGTGGCAACAATCTTAGTGAAGAAAGAACTCATGACTCAAATGGGGAAATAAAAAGAAAAATCTTATTCACTAATGGAGGCATCAAGATTTATATACCTCAGGCAAAAAACAACAACAGTGAAAAAACAACAAAAATAGATTTATATACCTATAGAAATCCACAAACCTAAAGGCAGAAACACAAGAGTACATAATGGCACTGTGGGGGTGTATTATAAAAACAGTAAGCCACAAATATATAATGTTCTATTTCTAAAGCAATAAAAAGGCAACATGTAATGATGTGAAATCTAATTATCAATACATTTACTACTGAAAGTTTCTTGGTAAAAATTATAGTATTCAACAATGTATCAATCAGTTTTAAGAGAAAAGTGCTAATGAAAGACATAAAAGAAACAAAACTTCAAAGAAATTTGACTATTTTGAATGTCAAAGGAAGAAAACTTGTTTAGCCTCAATTTCAAAATGTCAAAAACATATCAGGAAGAAAACTCTGACACGTGATTAAAAACACAGAGTAGAGATCAACAGCATTTGGAAGACCTGAAAATAAATAGTCTAATAGCATAATGATGCCAAGGCGGAACAAAAGGGAATGTATATTTTTCAAAAGCTAGTAGGGTGTTCTCTAATGTGGCTCATTTTTTGAAGGACATAAAACAAAGACAGATATAAAAAGAAAGGGCATGAGCTTGTACACATAGAATTAATCTGATCCTCGAAATAAACTGAAATCTGTAAAAAGAACAGAAGGGGCTTCTAAGAGCCATATACTGATCATGAAGAATGAGAAAGAGCAGGTACAATGCTTGGAACAGATGATGTAACATTAACAGATTTTAGAGAAAAAGCAGGATTATTGTTCAATAGCTATCATTTTTATCTTGTCCATAAAACTATAAAAGGAAAAACAACATAATTAAGACAAAATTGAAAACTAAGACAGGTAAGATAACTGCATTAAGGCAGTTTAAAATCTCAAGGCTCTGGATAATTACATCTCAGGGTACTAGAAGAACCAAAAGATGTAGTCAAAAATCAGTCAGCAATATTTGAGACACGGAAATGAAAAACTGTAGAAGTATCAGTATAACAGTGAAAGGTAAATTATACTATTTCTAAAAATGAGAAAAAAAGTAGATAGGTAAAATTATTATCAGTCTCCAGCAAAATTCTAAGTCTTTATAGAGCCAATAAAAAAAAATGCAGTGTAGGAGCTGGTGCTACTGCATTACTATTAGAAATCAAAGTTTAAAAATTTATTATAAACTATTTCACTTTCTGTTTGAACAAGCTTACTAGACTAGTAAATTAGAAGACTGGAATACATATATCTTCTATATCTTTACTTGAGCAAAGTATATGACAGTCTATTTATTCTTGTAGCCAAGACAAATAAATACAGCCTGAATCAAAATAAAATTAGGAGGGAAAAAAGTCTCTTCAACAAATGGTGCTGGAAAGACTAGACATCTATATGCAGAAGAATGAGCTGAAGCCCTATTTCATAACATATACAAAAATTAACCCAAAGCAAAGACTGACATGTAAGAGCAAAAACTATAAAGCTCTTAGAAGAAAACAAAGATAAATCTTCATTACATTGAATTTGCCAATGAATTCTTAAATATGACACCAAAAGCACAAATAACAAAAGAAAAAATAGATTAAAATACGGCTATAATTTAAAACAAAAAAGAAAAATAAGTTTTGGCAAGGATGTGGAGAGACTGAAACCTTCACACCCTGCTAGTACGAACGCTAGTGAGAACATAAATTGTTCAACTGCTGTAGAAAACAGCTTGGCAGCTCCTCAAAAAGTTAAATATAGAATTAACGTATGACCCAACAATTCCACTTGTGTGTGTGTGTGTGTGTGTGTGTGTGTGTATATATATATATATAAAATTTCTTTTCAAAAGAATTGAAAACAGGTACTCAAATATATGTACACGTACGTTCATAGCAGCACTATCCACAATAGCTAAAAGGTGGAAACAGTCTGAATGTCCATCAACTGATGAATGTATAAAACGTGGCATATCCATATAGTATTATTATAAATTGGAATATACAATATGGAACATGTATATGAATATTATTCAGCCATAAAAAGGAATGAAGTACTGATGCATGGTACAACATGAATGAACCTTGAAAACATTATGCTAAGTGAAAAAAGGTACGCACGCAAGGTCACAATATTGTATGATTTCATTTATATGAAGCTTCCAAAACAGGCAAATACTTAGAGATAGAAAGCAGATCAGCAGCGGCCAGGGATTAGGGCAAGAAAGAACGTGGAATGACTGCTTAACAAGTACTGTGTTTCCTTTTGGGATGCTGAAAATACTGGAACTAAATAGAGATGATGGTTGCACAATATTGAGGATGTACTAGAAGCCACTGAACTGTACACTTTCAAATGCTTAATTTTATGTTACATGAATTTTACCTCAATAAATAAATGAAATCAGGTAGATTTATACATGAATATGACACAGTACATTCTCACAACCCCAATCTCCATTCCAGTTTGAGAATCACCAATCTATTAGGTCCCAGCACTCTATGATTCTAATTTCTGCTGAGTTATTTGATATTGGTAGAAAATTAACATTGACAGAATTAAATTCCTAAGGATAAGAAATAGCAAATATGCTTCTATTTTACTACCTTTGTAAAAAGACCAGAAAGAATAAAAGTTGTATGCAATTACACAAAGTGTTCATGTTTAGAATCACAGGAGATGAAGACAATATGTCTTACTTTACACAGTTCAAAAACCTATTTCAAAGATTAAGTAGCTTTTAAGAGGTTAATCATCTATGTAAATTACATATTCCATGCTTATAATTAATACTGAACTACAATAAAAATCTGGCTTAAAACTTACCGTAACTGATTAGAGAAGTCATCCTCTACATTGTCATCATCCCAATTATCCTCCCAGACATGTGCATCTTCATCTTCATCTAAGCCAGCCCAGTCTAAAAATAGAAACAGATGCTGTCTAAATATTTCTCATACATTATTTCCACAATTACAAAAACTTTGAAAAGCTTGCTACTGAACACTCACAATTCAAAAACAGCTAAAACCATATCTATGAAAAATGGTATCTTCCTTAAATCTGAGCTTATGCTGTCTAGTTCTCTCAATTCTTGAGTTTGCAGATAACCTAAAACAGAAGTTAATACAAAAAATTCTACTTGCCAAGAAACTTACAATTTCAGGAGGATATTTACTTTACTGATTTTTCTTTGAACTCATTTTTAGAAGGTCGACTTCACAATCTTTCAAAACACAACACCAACAACCCTAAAGCAAGTTGAATGGCAGGAAGATACCAGTGTGAAATTCAAAACTGCAAAACGTAAGGATAACTTATATACAAATATTTAAAAGTAGACCAAACTGTAAGCCACCACTAGTATCTGCCTAATACAACTGATACAAAATTTATATTTTTAAAGGAAGAATAAACATAAATATGCATAAAGAAGAATATTGTAGTTTTTAGTTTTCTAGATTTTCTTCCTCCCTTTGGTAGTGGTAGAGGGGAGGTTTAGATTGAGATTTCAGCTTTTGTTTAGAATGGTGAGAAAGTACGTACGTATTACCACTATTCTCTAACCTCAAATCTCAAGCTTTAAATATGCTATGTGGGTTGAGCCTGGAAATAGAAATTATCTATTTGATAGTTATTTTAAGGAGTCTTTATAAAGATGTCTAATGGAGTTTTATGTTACAAAAAAATAATTTAAATAAAGACTAGATACTATGTTCTTGAGTAAAGGGGGTGACATAACTCAAAATCACAACAGAACTGTTTCAAGGTTCTAAGACAACAAGCAGATTCTACTCAGCTTGAACCACTTCCAAATAACCAGCTTCCTAAACTGTTAAGTAGGTCGCTTCCATCTGCATTGGTCCCTAAAAAGGAAATAATCATGTGTCAAAAGATTCAAGCCAGAAATATAAAATAATATTTTACACTTTTCTGCTAACCTTGTAAGTCTTTGAAAAATACTGTAGAGCCTTATCTTTTAAAGCAACTATCTTTTAAGAAACAAAATTTTTCATCTAATTATGATTTGATTCAAAATGTTATTTCAATAGTTATTAAGTGATGTCTTCAAGTTGACTTTACTTCTTTTAACTTAGAGAGGGGAAAAATATTTAAGAATGGTACAATTTTTTTAGTTTATAAAGTTAAACTCTGATGATCATTTACAACAAAGATAAAGCATCTCTCCCTCGTCTAATAACCATCTCACCCTATTTTAATGGCTGGGAAAGGAAAGGAAAAAGTAGAGATAAAGTCCCAGGAAAAAGGAACTGGCTCATGAAGAGGGGGAAAAAGAATACTGTGAGCAACATTTTAGGTAGAACATATAAAAAAGATTCATAACAATACCTCTATAGTTCTTTCGTATTACTATACAGTACTTCATAGTTATGACACTACTGAGTAAACAAAGACGAAAGAGCTGGCCAAATTCTTCGTTAATTATCTGATAAATCTAGATAAACTTTGTAGCCTTAATACCATTATCTTAAGCAGTAAGAAGCACTAATGTCTACGTAATAGCATACCACCCTTCCAATTATCATAGATGAGGAATCTGAGAAATAACCTTTCTATTACAACTTATTAAGCAGTTAAAATTAATATGAGCACTGTTAAGAAAAATAGTGCTAACACTGACAAACCAGAATCTATTTTGGATGGATATTTTAAACAGTGTATTAACCTGGATTATGTACTTAACTATATTACATAAAAAGCTTATGTGATAGGGTATAATGCCCCAAAATAGTATGTCCAACACTTACAAATTCTCTATACTATACATACATGTTACAATATATGTAAGTTACAATACATACAAACTCTACTCAATGTATAACATGAAAAAGCTGTAACTATTGTAATCTCTGGGTTTAGCTGACATCTTCTTGGATCTCTGAATTGTGTTTTAATTTTCAACTCTAACACTACACTGACAACCAAGCAATTTTAATCACTCAGTTTTAAAGGGTTAACTCCAGAAATAGTTTTGAAAAGGACAAAATATAACCAAACAATGATACCCATGATATCTGATATACCTCATGTCTAATGCCATCCTTCAATATGTAGATGGCCTTATAAAGCATACACTTTACCTTAAACACTAAATGCATTGCCAGAATTGTGATTAATCATGTAAATAACCACAGCTGTATTTGCTTCAATGTGTATGCCTCCAGATGTGTACTGGTTTAAAAAAAAAAAAAAACCCTACATTTTAAAAAGTCAGAATTGGAAATAACCAGTAACAGATGCCTAATACATAAGTTTCTAGCAATTCTTATTTTAGACGTTGTCCCAAATTGGGCTTTCTTCACTTTGGCTAGTTGAGAATTACATCTGTGACTAGCTTTAAATTTAAAAAATCTGAGCTATCCAAGATCTAAGACATACTTCACCTAAGTATCACCTTGACATTTAAGTACAAAAAGAATCTTCTTTCAACTTAGAAAATTCTTTTAATACTTACTTTCCCCTACTCTGCAACATACATTTCCAAATTTCTGAAAGGCATGAAATATAGCATTTTTGAGAAAAGTAAAAAGGAAATCCCACTCATACTAAATAGGGTTGCAAATGTTCTATTCTACACCAATTTTCAAGAGTATCGAATTCTTATTCCATAAAAATAAAGGTATTCTGAACATAAACAACCTAATCTCCAACCAAGTTTCTTCAAATACAAAACATGCAAGTATATACAGAACATTACATGAAAAGAAAAATACTAAATTGAACATTCACCATCTTAGGTGTGTGTAAAAGAGAAGAGCAATACTTACAAACAGCATCACTATACTCATGAGTATGATAATGAAGCCACACCATATCCAGTGATTCTGAGATAAATTTACAAGTGTTCCTGCTGAGGGTGTATGAAACAAATTATTTTTTTTGAAAATTTCACTTCTGTAGGTTATCATAATGCAAACACCCGTATACCCTGCAGATCTAATGTCTAGTCAGTGACTAAGAAATCAATACGTAGCACGGCACCACTTTGCTACTATATTTTCTCTAACAAGGACCAAAACTGTTAGTGGAGAACTTCAAACAAAAAGCAAGTCATAAACAATGTTTTTATTGGCAGGCTGTTGGTGAGCTTTCAGTTGTGGCAGAGTCTGAAACAAAGGATCAAAATAACTTCATAATCATTCATAACTATTCTTACATTTTTTAAAAAGGAAATCCAAACCCAATTATTTTCATCAACAATTAAAAAAAATATAAGTCTGGCAGAATGGTTCCACTTTGTTGGTTCTCTTTGTTGATTTGGGATTTTTTTTACTTTAAGTTCTGGGATAGATGTGCAGAATGTACAGGTCCGTTACATAGGAATACATGTGCCACAGTGGTTTGCTGCACCCATCAACCCATCACCTAGGTTTTAAGTCCCACACGAATTAAGTATTTCTCCTAATGCCATCCCTCCCCTTGCTTCCCACCCCGACAGGCCCAGGTGTGTGATGTTCCCCTTCCTGTGTCTACTATGTGTTCTCATTGTTCAACTTCCACTTATGAGTGAGAACATGCGGTGTTAGGTTTTCTGTTCTTGTGTTAGTTTGTTGACAATGATGGTTTCCAGCTTCATCCATGTCCCTAAAAAGGACAAGAACCCATCCTTTTTTATGGCTGTATAGTATTGCACAGCGTATACGTGCCACCTTTTCTTTAACCAGTCCGTCACTGATGGCCATTGGGATCGGTTCCAAGTCTTTGCTATTGTGAATAGTGCTTCAATAAACATTCATGTGCATGCGTCTTTATAGTAGAATGATTTATAATCCTTTGGGTATAACCCAGTAATGGGATTGCTGGGTCAAATGGTTATTTCTAGTTCTAGATCCTTGCGGAATCACCACATTGTCTTCCACAATGGTTGAACTAATTTACACTCCCACCAACAGTGTAAAAGCGTTCCTACTTCTCCACATCCTCTCCAGCATAAATTTTTAAAAATGTATTTGTTTTTTCTTTCGCTTCCTGAACCTGGTAGATTTGTGGCTTTAATTTTAATTCCATAAAATTTACAAAAACCATTACTCTCATCTTTTCCAAGCCCTTATGCCCTAGATTCATCTCATCTTGGTACCCTCATTCTGATCTACCCTTCAAATTACTGAGTCAAGGGTATCCAATCTCAACTTCACCATGCATATTCTTAAGACACGCATGGGCAAAATCACAACCCCAGATTTCTTCTTATTCTCAACACCCCATATCAAACTAGTTGCTAATGCTTCATCACTTCTACCTCCCTTACTGTTGTGGCATCATTCTCTTCACTTCATTTCTAATAATAATTTATTTCGCCCTTAGTCCTCACCTGAGTTATTTCGACAATCTGCTAATTAACCTCCCTGACTCTAGTCTTTCTATCTTTTCAAATTAATTCTGCTGGGTTAATGTTTCAGCATATTGCCTAAAGGAAACTTACACATATCACTGTCATAAGCAAAACAAACAAAACATTTTAAAAACCACTTCTCATCTAGTTAATTAAGGATTAAGTCCAAACTGGTCAGAGGCTTAAAGCTTTCCATGCTGAGGCCACAAACCACCTGCATTTGCAACTACTATTTCATAAGCAAATACAATATACATACACATTTATTTTTCACTTCAAAGCACCTACACCTTTTCCCTTCTTTTGAAAACCCCTTTCCTACGTTTCTTTTGAAAGCCCTGTTCAAAGGTTGCTACCTCGCACTGTACATAACTGGAAGTAATCTGTTTCTTTTGAACTGCTGTTGCACTTTACTATCAGTTGAAGGAAACCAAATTACATCTTACTCAGAAGCCCAACAGGTAAGAGAAACAAAGGCAATGTTGCTATGGTTTAATTGGTGGTAGGGAGAAAAGGGCTTTGAGTCCCACCCCAGGATAAACACTTCCAAAATACTAAAGCACTCTAGCTTGGTGTTAAAACCACTGATTCTTCTCTCCCTTAACTACTACTTACTAAGTTCAAAGACAAATATCTATAGAAGTCAAATTTGCTTCAAGACAGCCTCTAATTAACTGTGACCTTGGGTAAATTAAATTTTTCTGATCCCTAGGTATAAAACTTATACCTCAAAGAGCTATGAAGACTCAATGACACTGTGTATGTAAAGCACTTAGTACTGATAAATGGCAGCTAATACCATTCTCTCTGTACTTTTCAGTACCAGATTTATAGGAAACACTCAACAAATACATGTCAAATGAATAAATCCTTTATTACATACATGCTAATCACTGGAAAGGCAATTTGTGGGATGAGAGAGGTGAGTAGAGAAACATGTCCTAGAATATAAACAATACAATTTCCACCAAACATTACATGTACACCAGAGTACACAACCAGACAAAGGATTAAGGATATTTGGTAAATTTTAAATACTTATGAAGAAGAGTACACTCATCCCTCGGTATACTCGGGGTACTTGTTCCAGGACAGCCCAAGTATACCCAAATCTATGTATATTCAGGTCCCATGGTTAGCCAAGTGGTAGTCAGCCCTCTCTACAGGTGGGTTCCATATCCTGTGAATATCGTACTTCCTTTTCCCATTTAGTTGAAAAAAATCTGTGTATAAATGGACCCTCACACTTCAAACCATGTTGTTAAAGGGTCAACTGTATACAGTTTTTGAAACTTATTTTCCTCTCAATGTTTTCGCAGTTCATCACATCTTTCAATGAGTAATGTTTAACAAACAAGTAGTAACATTAAACACTACTTAAACCACAATTGCTTACTGCTTGCTCATTCCATAGAACCAATGAAATAGCTAACCAAATAGTTTTTCAAAGAGTTTTTCAGTGTTTAATATCCTGGTTCACACCTCTCACTATCCCTTCCCAAGCACCAGCATCTTGATTTGGGGGTTTTTCATTCCAATCTGTATATACCCCTAAATAATGTATGTTACTATTTTATGTGTCTTTCTATGAATAACCACATTATTAAGTACTTGTGGAAAAACATTTAATGGCAATTTTTTTAAATTTACAAGTTTCTAATACTGCAAAATAAATCAATTATCAAATAATTCACAAATTTAACAAGCTTAATTTTGAATATATTCAAAATTACTAAATACATGTCAGACACAGCTCAAATTCTAAATAAATATTAAACATCATCCAAAATCCAAACTCCTAAGTACATTAGAGGGGAGAGAAAAAAGGAGACTAATGTTTACTGAATACCAACTTTGTGCCAGACTCTGTTTACATATGTATCATTGTTCTGGACTAAATCTTTGTACCCTGGCCCCCCAAAACCCCCCCAAAAATTCTTATGTTGAAGCCCTCATCCTCAATATGATGGTATTCGGGAGGTAATCAGGATTGAATGAGGTCTTGCGGGTAGGGCTCCCATGATGGGATTAGTGCCTTAAGAGACACCAGAGAGCATGCACTCTTTCATTCTGCCACAAGAGAACACAGCACAAAGGCAGCCTTGTGCAAGGCAGGAAGAGTGGCCTCACCAAGAACTGTATCGACCTACACTTTAATCTTGGACTCCACAGCCTCCAGAATGGGTGAGAAAATAAATCTCTGATGTTTAAGCCACCCAGTCTATGCTATTTTGTTATGGTAGCCCAGGCCAACCATTACAATAATGTAATTCTTTCATGACTCTAATAAATATTATTAGCCATATATTACAGATAATGAAATTGAGGATTAAGATGGTAACAGCTCAGAGAAAAACATAATGGTTAATCTTACTTAAAAAAATCAATCCAAATCAAAATGATACAATTTTATTTTTCATTCATGAGGTCAGTAATGACTAACATGTTTACTATCTAGTGTAGCAAGCTTATGAGGGAAAAGGTGAACTGTAGATGAAAACATAAATTGGCATAACCCTTCTCAAAGGCAATTTGAGAGTATCTGTCAAAATTTAAGATATGCCAGGTCTAAGATGAGGTGTCTAAGCCCAAGTAGAGCAAGGAGGGCATTCCTGGAGAGGGGCAGCATGGTGTGGCTGGTGTGTCAGAGCCTGGACAGAACGAAGTCACCCACACTAGAGGATGGGAGGGTGGCCTGGCATAAAATGTGGAGCCCAAGTTGGGCAAGAAGGGCACCTGTTGGGGGCAGCAAAGATTGGTTAGGAAGGGGGATGACCAAATAGACAATACATTGAAGATAATGGAAGCCAGGTTTCTCACTATTGGAGAAGGGAATAACAAATGTAGAAAGGGAAAAAACTAGAATGAATCCAGTGGTGTTGAACTGCAATTGGAGACATCTGTGTGAACCCATGGTTTTATACATACACACACACACACACTCCTGTACATCCCTAGTTCCTTCCACTTAGAGGGTCTGGGAGCAGGAATATCCCAAATGCAATAAACATAAGCAAAGTGAAGACCCTGCATTCTAAATACCATTCTCCACTAAAAAGAAATCACATTGGAGCAACGGCTGATTTCACATATAAAATTAGTTTGGAATACACCTTGTGCCAGAATGCTAGGAAATGCACAAAGAATAATGGAGACATGGCAAAAGGACACAGAAGACAGCCTGAAGGAGTTCTGCATGTTCAAATATGGGACAATCTGAGAATCCAAATAATAGTTACAAATTATAACCTACTGAGTCAGAATCCACTAGTCCACACTGCTATACATTTTTTAAAAGATGAACAAGTTACAAGTTTGATGATCACTGGAATACTGTATTTACATAGTTTCAAAGTCCCTCCCCCAAAACTGCCTATTAGGAAGGGAAAATTAGTAACCTAACAATGGAAAGGCCTAACAAACACCACCTTAATAGTGATTGAAGTGAACATCCCCAGTAATGGAACAAATGAGAATAATGTTCCACCTAAAAAGATGTCATTAGAACAGAGCACCAGGACTACAATGTAGAACTTCTATCATGAGGAAATAGGCACAGGTGAGGAACATTCTACAAAATATCTGGCCTGTAGTCTTCTAAAGTGTGAAAATCATTAAAGTTAAAGACAAACAGGAAATGCTCTAGACTAAGGAAGACTAAAGAGACAGGACAAGATAATGTAATCCAGGACTCTATAGTAAGACATTATTGAGACAATGGGAGAAAGCTGAAAGTGATCTGTGGGTTAGATCATACAGGTTGAGTATCCCTTATTCAAAATGCTTGAGACCAGAAGTGTTTCAAATTTTGTATTTTTTTGAATTTTGAAATACTTGCATTATATATTTACAACTGGGCATCCCAAATCCCCTAATCTGAAATTTCATGTTGGTACTCAGAAAGTTTGAGATTCCGGAGGATTTCAGATTTGGGATGCTCAACCTATAGTAATGCATCAGTGCGTTAATTTCCTGATTTTGATGGTTGTCTTGTGACTATGTCCTTGTAGGAAATACACATTAAAATACTCAGGAGTGATGGCCATCAGGTTGGCAACTTATTCACAAATGGTTTAGAGAAAAATGTTTGTACTGTACTTTCAACTATTCTGTAAGTTTGAGATTATTTCAAAATAAAAATTATATTATAAAAAATGAGTCTGCCAATTCAATTTGGCAATTCTTCTCTAGGAGTTTATCTTATAGATTAGCACACACACAAAAAGATGTAAACATATTCATTATCTGTAACAGAAAAAAAACAACAAAACCCAAGCAACAAAAACCCTAAAGCTATAAGGTTATTCACTGCAGCATATTCCATTTTTTTTTTTTCTTTTAAAGGCCAGGTGCAGTGGCTCACCTGTAATCCCAGCACCTGGGAAGACTGATGGGAAGACTGCTGAGGCCATTAGTTCAGTACCAGCCTGGGCAACATAACGAGACCAAATCTCCACAAAAAATTTGAAAGAACAAATTAGGTGAGATGGCACATGCCTGTACTCCCAGCTACTAGGGAGGCTGATAGGGAGGCTGAGACAGAGGATCACTCAATCCCAGGAGTTCAAGGCCGTAATAATCTGTGACAGCGCCACTGTACTCCAGCCTGGGTGACAGAGCACCAGAGCAAGACCTTGTCTCTTAAAAACACACACACACACACACACACACACACACACACACACATACATAAAAGAACCAAAGAAAAAACCCTAATATCTATCAAGAAGGGACTAGTTAAATAGACTATTTAAGATGAACACAATGAGGGCATGAGGTAGATTTTTATATTGATGCAAAAATGTACCTGAGATACATTAAATAATAAAAATCAAGTAGGAGGAAATAGTATATATCGTATGTCTTCTGTGTATGTATTTAAAGGATACATACAAACAAGTACAATTTATAAATACATTCTGGAAGGATACTAAAGAAAAAAACATTTAACGTTGGTTATCACTGGGACATAAATAACTTTTTTGGGGAATTGTAGAGGGAAACTGTGTTTTTACTTTTTAATTTATACTCTCATTAAGTTTAAATTTTTACCATAAGCGGTTACTTATACAATTATCCTATATAATATACTACAAAAATATTTTAAAGAGGAAGTTAAGTAACTAGCATGAGGTGACTAGCTGAAAGTTTATGAATGGTAGATTTGAACCTAGGCCTAATCCTAGATTCATCATGCTTATTCTATCCTGGGGTTCAAAAACTTTCTTCTTGCACACAATTATCAAAAATGGACATTCAACAGGTACTCTTCGAATCATTATACAGATTACACATTTTTTCTTAAAAATTTTTAGTAACATGAGTTCTCCATTTCTTGCTACCACCATGTAACTAATTCAAATGTTTAATGGTTATGTCCACTATATTACATTTAATAATGCAAAAACAGCAAAAGCCCTTTTTGGCACTAGGTAAACTGACTAGCATGGTGTGTGACATTATCAATACTGGTCACATCTATCTTCTACATTTAAGATTCTAAGGAATCCTCCTATTGAATGTTTAGTCCTGTTGGTATATGCTGTTCACATAAATATTTCTCAATAGCATTTTTCACAGGGCAGTTCTTCCTCGTGCAGGCACAAATATAAAATCCTTGACCTCTACCCACTAAATGCTGGCAGTTTTTCTACACTCCTACCTGTCAAGTCAGTGTGACATCCAAAAACACTCCCTTGGTTAAGAACCACTGTAAGATGTCATACTTTTTAAGGCACAGGTGATAATGCCTCATTTATTCCAGAATGCTGGCAGCATTAGGGGATCACCAGTCTGTTGTCTGCCTCAACAGACAGATTCCCATCATAACACTGTCTTATCCAGAAATTTCTCCAGGGGCCAGAGGGTGGGAAGGTGGGTAGTATTCTGCTCCTGATTTCTTCAGACTATATAGAAATTTCACCTAATACAGAAAAAGTATAGAATACTTAGTATAATATCACTCTTGTAAACGCTATTGCTGCTGCAGGCAAACTCAATTTCATTCTAAATATTCTAAAAAAGCTTCTCTCTCAAAAAAAAAAAAAAAACCCTTTCAATTCTGGCACAGGAAGAGAATAAAAGAATCTAAAGGAGCACTTGTTCTCTTCCCTCTTTTACTCGAATCCACATCTAATTGTCAGAGAAACTAATAAAAATATTTTTTAAAACTCTTTCAATAATTTGATATGGAAAAGTAGTCAACGTTTTAAATAAATTAGGCTGGGCGCGGTGGCTCATGCCTGTAATCCCAGCACTTTGGGAGGCCGAGGCGGGCGGATCACCAGGTCAGGAGATCGAGACCATCCTGGCTAACACCATGAAACCCCATCTCTACAAAAAAAATTAGCCGGGCGTGGTGACGGGCACCTGTAATCCCAGCTACTAGGGAGGCTGAGGCAGGAGAATGGTGTGAACCCAGGAGGTGGAGCTTGCAGTGAGCCGAGATTGCGCCACTGCACTCCAGCCTGGGTGACAGAGCGAGACTCTGTCTCAAAAAAAAAAAAAAAGTTTTAAATAAATTATAGACTACTTCAGTTTTTGACTCTATCACCACCAACCTGACCGTATGATTTGAAAAATGAAATCTTCTCTAGACTTTTAAGTTGCCCTCCGGTCCTAGAATTCTAACCATTTCAAAGCTTCCAAAATCATATCAAAATCAATCACACCCAGGACCTTGAATGTCTTCCTAATAAAGGCTGTTCTAAATCAGTTTAAGTAGTCAAGAAGTTGGAGGCTGTATATCACAAAGATCCTAAATATGATTTTTTACAGCTCCTGCTTAATGACCAGAAGATTACACACCCACCAATTAGAATAATTGTGAGGAAATGCCAATGTAGCACCAATTCACAGGCTATAGAATGGGGGAAAAAATAAAAGCAGCATTTGTACCTTCAGAGACTCCTTCCAGATGTTGCACTTTACATTGAAGGGCTATTGAGAAGAAACTATGCTGACATGGTGCCTCACACCTGTAATCCCAGCACTTTGGGAGGCAGAGGCGGGTGGATCACCTGAGGTCGGGAGTTCAAGACCAGCTTGACCAACATGGAGAAACCCTGTCTCTACCAAAAATACAAAATTAGCCGGGCATGGTGGCACATGCCTGTAATCCCAGCTACACGGGAGGCTGAGGCAGGAGAATCGCTTGAACCCAGGAGGTGGAGGTTGCAGTCAGCCGAGATCGCGCCACTGCACTCCAGCCTGGGCAACAAGAGTGAAACTCCATCTCAAACAAACAAAAAAAAAAAAAAAAAAAAAAAAAGAGAGAGAGAAGAAACAATAAAAATTCCCTTTCCTTAAAATGATTAAATGAACATCCTACCAAACATATTCTTATGCAAGATGGGATGTAGCAACGCCACTCCCAAAAGAAAGACCCACTCCCAAAAGAAAATCTATTAGTCGAACCACCAGTAACGACTTTCATGTGGCAACCTCTATACTCCAAGTTACCCGAGAGTGGATAAAATCCACTTTCTGGAGCACTGACACTCAACAAAGCGTTTGAAAGTAAGATCTGTTATAGACTGCAGAGATGTTCATAGGCTGCCTTAACAACACCAATTTTAATTTGTATCTGTTAGTGAATTTGTCAATGGCATACTTACAAGAAAAATAATTTTCCAAAGTACAGAAAGAACTTGAAAGTAAATCAGGGCATTAATACTTGAAGTGAAAACTCAAATACCAAAAGATTGAAAATAGGTCACTGTTTTAAAGTAATACTTTTCAAACTTTAATGTTTTTTCAAACATCTCTCTTAGGAATCCTGGTAAAGCCCACACTGATTAAGTAGGTCTAGGTTTGAGGAATGATGAGATGCTGCAATTTTAACAGGCTCCCAGGCAATGCCAAGTCTGCTGTTTCATGGATCACATTTTGAATAGTAACAGACTCTAAACCTTGACTAGACCAAAACATGTCGGAAATGTAGATTCTCAGAAAAGAAATAATTCTTTGGTGATATTTTCTGAAGTGTTTTTCTTTTGCTTTTGTTACTCATCAGAACAACTTTCATGAGTAAATATTGAGTGGTTTCACCTTGTGGGATGATTTTCTCACAAATTCAAATTAAGAAAAACCTCTCCAAATCATAAACCAGAGAAGAGAAACTTGAACAAAATAAAGGCATTAAAAATGTTTCTCACTCTAAAATGGAAAGTTTCCTGAATGAATTAATTCTACACATTTATACCTGAAGACAACAAACATTCTGTAAGGAGACCCATAAATGGTCAATTACTTAATGTTAATAAACAAGTCTGTTGTGAGTCTTTTGTCCTTAGAAAGAATAATTTTTTTTTGCTTTTCCTTTTACCTTTTTGTTTTGTTTTACTATATAACTACTGACACTTTGAAAAATTGCTGCTCACATATAAACTTAGAACAAGCACAAACTACACTCGCAAAAGCTGATGAAAGTTGCTGAAAAAAATCAAGTGTACCATCAGGTACATAGTTATCTCTAGATCGTTTTTAAGCAGTCAATTATCAACTAACTACTCATTTTAAATGCGGGTTCATTCATCATTCATTCAACATGCATTTATTGACCACCTACTATGTATCAGGCACTTTGCTAAATGTTACAGATAAAGTTTGGATCAGGGAGTTAGACCTTTCAGATCCTGGCTTGGACATAATGGCAAGTTTTGTTTGTTTGTTTTTCTTTTTGTCTCTAAGCCTCCATATTCTCAAGGTGATAGTGATAATTAGATTATGTAATGCAAATAAAGTGCCTAACATTCCACCCTGTATATGATAATGAAGAATGCTATTTGAAGTATTAAGTTTGAGTAAGAAGTAGATCCTACCTTCAATAGGCCAGCTTTCTACGACACAGCTCTATGTTGGCGGATTATGAAGCAACTTGAAAGCGAGCTAAAGAAAACATGACTGAATAGATAAATCCATTACCAAAACAAAAAACTAAGAATGCCTACAACACATAATTAATTCCAGAACTGAAAAGAAATGTGCTTTGGGTTAGTTTACCAGTTTCTGTAGCATGTACACTAATGTTCTCTTCCACTAAACAAAGTAACAGTACATTATAAATAGAACAAATGTTCCAGCTATGTGGTTTTATGCACAATAGGATCATCATAGGGTATACAACTTGGGACAATTTTAGTGAAGTAGTAATTGCTTGATGCAACAGGATGTGTACCCCATTAACCACAATTCTCTTTCTACCACCTTCAGAAAGTAATCTCCTTTTCTTATAAGGTAAATATTTACAAATCCTACTCATCAACCATCAGCCAATAAAGCAGCCTATTTTGAAAACCTAACTGGCAACAGCAATCTCACAAACAGAAGCAGTACAGCTGAAGTTAAGAGCTTTGGTGTCAATCAGGCCAGGTTTCCCAGTTCCAGTTCTATTATTTCTAACTAGTTATGAGACATCAGAAGGTTTCTTAACCATTCCGAGCTTCAGTTTATCTGAAGAATGGCAATACTGAGGCCTACTTCTTATATTTATGAAAGTGGAATATGCTATTACAAGTAAAGCACTTAGACAAGTTCCTGAAAACAACAGCCACTCAATAAATGTTAGCAATTTGCTATTATCTACAATGAAAAAACCAGGTCTTTAGTTTTGAAGCTAAAAAAAAAAATGTGTAAGGTTTAGGTTCTTTTAAAAAAATATTTTATTTTTGTAGGGACAGGGTCTCGCTATGTTGCCCAGGCTGGTCTTGAACTCCTGACCTTATGTGATCCTCCTGCCTCTTCCTCCCAAACTGCTGCGATTACAGGCGTGAGCCACCACACCCGGCAAGTTTTAGGGTCTTATAAAGCATTAAGTTAGGTCACAGTTAAGTGATCAAAATGGTGAGGAACAGGAATGAGGCAATAATGTGTATTAAGCACCCCGTATCTTACCCTCCTATCCTACTTAATGAGGCTTCATTTGTAACATCCTAAAAGTTAAGCAGCATTGGCGTAACTACTGACAATTCAATTCTGGAAAGGTTTAAAGACAAAGAAAGACTGCTAAAACAAAAAGAAAAGGAGGTTATGTAGACTTGAACTAAGTTTAAGTGGTGAGTAACCCAGGTGAACAGTAAATGGACCAACCATCACAGACGCGGGGCTATGGGTCCAGACTCACGGTGGCTCCTCCCAGTGAGGAAGCCGAAGCCATTGGGCCTCACCAGTGAGTCCCAGCGCAACACCCCAAACCCGAATCTGGGGCGCCACTGAGGGGTGAGCGTTAGCGCCTCGAGTGCCGGCCCTGGGAGTCCAAACTTCCCGCCGGTGCCCCCAGCTGGGCCCGAGCACCCAAGCTACCTCCACACGGAGGCCTGAGTCACCGTTCGCGCGACACAGAAACCGGGGCCCAGCGGTTACCTTCGGCAGGGAACTCTTCAAACTCGTCGTCTTCCTCTAACAGACCTAAGTCTACCGGCTGCTTTTTCTCTGACATCTCGACTGTCCGCGCCCAACACCTCCCAGATAAGCAGAAAAGTTGGAACCCTCACTCTTCCTCAAGGAAACGCCACCGTCACTACCGCCTCCGACGCTGACGCTACCATAGAGACTTGGGGAAAGAATACGGGAGCAGCGCGAGGAATGCTGGGATACTGGAGGTCGGCCCAGCGCTTCCTGCGGGGTTAGCGCTTTTTCCGAGTTGTAGAGGTGATTTTTTTTTTTTTTTTTTTTTGGTCTCTACCTTGTTATTCGGACTCTCTGTATTGCCAAAGTTGAGATCCGTGTAGTTTTCCTGACTATAAGAGACTCATAATGTGTAAAACAAACAAACAAAAAAACCCTTAGTTTGCAACCGAGGAAGGAACTCTAGAGAGACTACAGTGTGACTGCAAACATTCATCAGCCCTTCACATACGTTATTACCTCCAGTCCTTAAGCCAGTTCCCTAAAGGTGGTATTAAATGTCTCCACATCACAGAAAATTCAGGTTCGGTAGGAAGCAGCCGAAGTCACTCAGGTAGTTCTAGACAACCGAAATGCAGATTTTTTTGCCTGGCTCCAATCTCCAGACTTTTCCATTAGGCAGTGTTTATAAGGTCTTAGAATTACTTTGTGGTAAAATAGCTTTTTAAATAGAATTTGTGTGGTGTGTATGTGTGTGTAGTAACTCTGGTTTACAGGTTATTATACAGTAATGCTATTTATGGATTTGTGTAACATTTTATGGTGTTCAAAATATATCATTTAGAATTGTTTGAATAGCATTTGAATATCATTTTGAATACAGTAGTGAACTTCATGGAACTCTATATATAATATATGGATGTATATGGATGAATATTATGGAATATACGTACACAAATTGAGTATTATTGTAAATGTTGATACATGTTCCAGATTATATCTATAAATGCCATTCCTTTATTCAACAATGTAAGGTCATACCGCTTACCAGGAGCTGTGCATCAAACATGTATAGACAAGGTCCCTTTCTTCAAGGAGCTTATATGCTGCTCAGAGACATGTAAACAGATAAATCACAATGAAACACAGTAATCCACTTGAATCTGCATCTTAATATTAGTGAGAAATGAACAGAGTGTTTGGGAATACAGAAAATTGAATAACTAAATGTAGAACAAACTTGGCCAAGAACTACAATTAGATGAAATTTTTAAAAAATGTATCTCTTATACTATTTGATTTATATAGATTACTGAAAATAATGGTATCTCACTACCAAAAAAATTATGTCAGGTAATGCATATCTTATTTAGTGTGATTTAGTCATTATACAATGTATTTGTATTTTAAAACATGTGCTCCCAAATATAGGCAATTTTTATTTGTCAATTAAAATAATTTTTTAAAGAAGGTAAAAAAAAAAAGATTTTGCCAAGGAATCAGAAAACCCAAATTTTAGTTCCTGGACCTATTATTTATTTCATTTGATATATGATGAAGTTTGTATCAATCCTTAGCAAAAGAAAAAAATCAACAGCAATATGGTGATTTTTTCCCCCTAAAACTATATTCAATTTAAAGAGAGATTGTTGATTTAAAAATCAACAATCTTACGTCAAGTTCCACCACCCCTGCCCTTTCTTCCATTGTACTGGTTTGTGAAATCCAGAATGCTGAAACTTAAATAACTTCTTATTTCAGATGAGATGGGGCATGTTCAGGGTGGTACGGCCATAAATGTCATGGCACATGGCACAATGAGCAACTTTGCATTTCAAGGGTCGTGGCACGGGGAATAATTTTGGAAAATGATATTAAGAATACATATTTGCAGACCAGTTTGTATTATAAATCTAGGCTCAGTTCCTTCTAAAGGGGAGTTTAGACAAATTACTTAATTTCTCTGTAATACATTTTGGTTATTCGCAGTCACAGTTAAGATTAAAGGAGATTATGTATATAATGTGCATAGTTCAATGCCTGGCACATAATAAGTGATCAATACATGTTAGCTATTATTAACTAAGGAACTTATATTTTTAAATATTTCATATTCTCCTTGTCAACGCTTAAAGTCTCTAAGTGTGTGTTTTGTTTCCTTGATGATATCTTTTTAATACTTTTTGAGGAAGTCAGTCCCTCTAATAATGTATATTTAGTGTTTACTTTGTATCGGGCACTGGGCTAAACCCATTTTGTGTATTTTCTTATTTAATCCTCCTCTCAACAGCCCTATTTATATGGTTTGCTTCTGTCCTCACCCAAATCCCATCTTGAACTGTAGCTCCCATAATTCCCACATGTTGTGGGAGGGACTCAGTGGGAGGTAATTGAATAATGGGGCGGGTCTTTCCCATGCTGTTCTCCTGATAGTGAATAAGTCTCACAAGATCTGATGGTTTTATAAAGGAGAGTTTCCCTATACAAGCTCTCTTGTCTGCCACCAAGTATGACATGACTTTGCTCCTCATTCACCTTCAGCCATGATTGTGAGGCCTCCCTGGCCATGTGGAACTGTGAGTCAATTAAACCTCCTTCCTTTATAAATTACCTAGTCCCAGGTATGTCTTTATTAGCAGCGTGAGAACAAACTAATACAGTCAGTTGGTACAGGGTAGTAGGGCCCTGCCATAAAGATACCTGAAAATATGGAAGCGACTTTAGAACTGGGTAACAGGCAGAGGTTGGAACAGTTTGGAGGGCTCAGAAGAAGATAGAAAAATATGGGAAAGTTTGGAACTTCTTAGAGATTTGGAGGGCTCAGAAGACAGGAAGATGTGAAAGTTCAGAACTTCCTAGAGACTTGTTGAGTGGCTTTGACCAAAATGCTGATAGTGAAATGGACTATAAAATAAAGTCCAGGCTGAGGTGGTCTCTGATGGAGATGCGGAACTTGTTGGAAACTGGAGTAAAGTTCACTCTTGCTATGCAGAGAGACTGGTCATATTTTATGCCTGCCTTAGAGAACTGTGGCACTTTAAACTTGAGAGAGGTGATTTAGGCTTATCTGGCAGAAGAAATTTCTAAGCAGCAAAGCATTCAAGAGGTGACAAAGCATAAAAGTATGGAACATTTGCAGCCTGATGATGCAGTAGAAAAGAAAAACCCATTTTCTGGGGAGATATTCAAGCTGGCTGCAGAAATTTGCATAAGTAAAAAGGAGCAAAGTGTTAATTGCCAAGACATGGGAAAATCTCTCCAGGACATGACAGAGACCTTCATGGCAGCCACACCCATCACAGACCCAGAGGCCTAGGAGGGAAAAGTGGTTTCATGGTCTGGGCCCAGAGCCCCCCTGCTGTATGCAGCCTCAGGACTTGGTGCCCTGTGTAACCAAGGTACAGTTCAGGCCATGGCTTCAGAGGGTGCAAGCCCCAAGCCTTGGCAGCTTCCACACGGTATTGGGCCTGCAGATGCACAGAAGTCAAGAATTGAGGTTTGGGAACCTCCACCTAGATTTCAGAGGAAGTATGAAAATGCCTGGATATCCAGGCAGAAGTTCACTACAGAAGTGTAGCCCTCATGGAGAACATCTGCTGGGTAGTGCAGAAGGGAAATGTGGGGTTAGAACCCCCACACAGAGTTCCCACTGGGGCACTGCCTTGTGGAGCTGAGAAGACAGCCACCTTCCTCCAGACCTCAGAATGGTAGATTGACCAACAGCTTGCATCGTATGCGTGGAAAAGCTACAGACACTCAACACCACCTTTTGAAAGCAGCCAGGAGAGAGGCTGTACCCTGCAAAGCTACAGAGGCAGAGCTGCCCAAGACCACTGGAACTCACCTCTTGCATCAGTGTGAACTGGATGTGAGACAAGGAGTCAAAGGAGATCATTTTGGAGCATTAAGATTTGACTGCCTCGCAGGATTTTGGACTTGCATGGGGCCTGTAGCTGCTTCATTTTGGCCAATTTCTCCCATTTAGAATGAGTATATTTACCCAATGCCTGTACCTCCATTGTAGCTAGGAAGTAATTAACTTGCTTTTGATTTTACAGGCTCATAGGCAGAAGGGACTTGCCTTTTCTCAGATGAGACTTTGGACTGTCGACTTTTGAGTTAATGCTGAAATGAGTTAAGACTTTGGGGGACTGTTGGGAGGCATGATTTGTTTTAAAATGGGAGGACATGAGATTTGGGAAGGGCCAGGGGCAGAATGATACGGTTTGACTGTGTCCCTACCACATCTTGAATTGTAGCTCCTATAATTCCCACATATTGTGGGAGGGACCCAGTGGGAGGTAATTAAATCATGGATGTGGGTCTTTCCTATGCTGTTCTTGTGATAGTGACTGTGTCTCACAAGATCTGATAGTTTTATGAAGGGGAGTTCCCCTGCACCTGCTCTCTTGTCTGCTGCAATAGATAAGACATGACTTTCCTCCTTATTTGCCTTCAGCCATTATTGTGAGGCCTCCCCAGCTATGTGGAACTGTGAGTCAATTAAATCTCTTTCCTTTATAAATTATTCAGTATCAGGTATGTCTTTATTAGCAGCATGAGAACAGACTAGTACACCTACTGAGTACAATTTAAATCCATTTTATACTTGAGGAACTGAGACTCAGAGAGATTGGTAATGTGGCCAAGGTCATAGTGCTAAGAAGTGGTGAAGCTATTGTATTCTAAGGACTTTCTTAAATGATAGGAAACAAACCATCCTGATGTGCAGAGGCAGACAGTTAACACCAGAACCCCCAGAATCATTTTTTCTCTGACACATGAATGTAGACGGAAGTGCAGAAGGCAAGGAGGTAGAATGAAAAAGAAAATCGAACTCTAGGATTAACGCTCAATGACTCAGAAACTCTCAACAATCTTATGAAAAGCATTTGTAGTCAAAACTATGCCTTCACTTACATATTATATCATATCTGTAATTGATTGAATAGTTTTAACTTTATAGGTAGGAAAACAAGTTAGCAGTATATTTTGTAGTAGATGATTCTGTTTGTCTCTAAATTTTTTTTTTTTTTTTGAGACATTGTCTCACTCTTTTGCACAGGCTGGAGTGCAGTGGCACGATCATGGCTCACTGGAGCCTCAACCACCAGGTCTCTGGTAAGTCTCCCACCTCAGCCTCCCTGATAGCTGTGACTACAGGTTCAGGTCACCATGCCCAGCTAATGTTTTGTAAAGATGAGGTCTCGCCATTTTGCCCAGTCTGGTCTTAAACTCCCAGGCTCAAGCGATCCTACTGCCGTGGCCTCCCAAAGTACTGGGATTACAAGCATATGCCACCATGCCCAGCCTCAAGTAAATTTTTTTCCCTAAAAATTTCATTAGGGATTCTTATGATATTAGTTTTATGACAAATACCTGAATTCTTAAGCAGGCAATGGAGGGACCATTTAGTGACTAGACAGAATGGACTATAACAGGTTGGACTATAACTATAATGGACTATAACAGGTCTGTACAGAAAGGTCAACCTGTTATAGTCCATTCTGTCTAGTTACTAAATGGTCAGTCCATAGCCCACTTAAGAGTTCAGGTATTTGTTATATAACTAATATCATAAGAATCCCTAATGAAACTTTTAGAGAAAAAAAATTTACTTGAGGCTGGGCATGGTGGCATATGCTTGTAATGCCTATCCAAGGAGAAACAGTGAGAGGATATTTAATGGTTGATGTCTAGAGGAAGGACTGATTTCAAAGGCAACTTCAATTTGACTTTGGGAGAGCAGAGCTAACTAGCCATGAAGGGTTGAGGAAGCTGACCTACACCTCAATTTCTAAGACATTCTTTCAGCATATGTAAAAAGCTTGGTCTCCAAATTCATCCTTCCTGAATTTGAATCAGGCTCTACTATTTGCTGGCTGTATCTCTAGGAAATTTCCCTTGTGTGCCTCATTTTTCCAATCTTTGAAATGGAAGTAGTAAAATTACTTTCCTCATAATGTTATTAGGATTAAGTTACTGCATATAAAACTCTCCGGTGCCCAGCATATAGCAAATACACGGTAAGTAATGGTTGTTTGATGTAGAAAGGAGGATGATAATGCTGGTTCCTATCCTCTAGCAATGCATAAGCTTCTTCACAGAAGGGAAGTCGACTATTTCCAACCACTTCTATGCTTGTCATCAAGATATACTGAACATTTGCTGTGCTGAGTAATGGAGCTATCTTTTTATCTGCTTTCTTTAACCTCTAGAACACAACCATTTGCTGTAGCTTCTTATGAGTCTCTAAAGGGCAGGTCCTAGATAATATTATAATAAATCCATAAAGCTGGTCTGCAGCACACTTTCAGGAACTTCCTTTCTCCACCAGGTCACAGCTTTTAGGCAGCTATCAACACCATCATTAAAATTCCACATATATTTGTAATAAATGTAAGTGTAATTCTATTCAGAGAAAAATGAAATTCTAAAAGGGTTGGACAAACCAAGCCATATCAATTTGTAGCACTGGAAATGAATAAGGAAGTGTATAAAGGATGGGACATTAGAAAGTTGTGATTAGGATATCTTTTATAGGAGATTTCTTATTTCATGTAAATGTATAGCTGTCTGTTCAAATTTTCATTCTTTCTGGACCTTTAAAATATACTCACTTTCTCCTGAAACAGATCTTAAAATTAAGGATCTTTAAGAAAAGTGGACTCTAACAATGCAGGCAGATTCTGGATACTTGCAGCCAGCTCTAAAGCCCATTGTGATATACATTTGGGTTTATTATTATCATTGTGGTAAGAAGACTTAACATAAGATCTACCCTCTTCCATTTTTGAGTGCACAATACAGTACTGTTAACTGTAGGCACTATATTGTACAGCATATCTCTAGAACTTATTCATTTTGTATAACTGTAGCTTTATAACCATTGAATAGCAAATCCCCATTTCCCTGTCCCCTAGTCCCTGGCAACTACCATTCTGTTCTCTGTTTCTATTATTTGAACTATTTTGGATCCTGCATTTAAGTGAGATCGTGCATTATTTGTCTCTTCTGACTGGCTTATTTCACTTAGCATAATATCCTCCAGATTCATTCATGTTGTTGTGTTTTACTTTTTTATACAGTTGTATATAGCAGGATTTCCTTTTTTGAGGCTAAATAATATTCCATTGTGTATATATACCACATTTTCTTAATCCATTCATTAGTTGATGGGCATTCAGATTATTTCTATATGTTGGCTATTGCAAATAATACTACAATAACACTACATATTCATGGAAGTACAGATATCTCTTTGAGAGCCTGATTTCAATTTCTTTAGATATATACCCAGAAGTGGAATAATTCGATCATATGGTTGTTCTGTTTTTAATTTTCTAAGGAAACTCCATACTGTTTTCCATAGAGGCTGCACCATTTTTAGACTTCCATCAACATCACACAAGGGTTCCAGTTTCTCCACAACCTCACCAACACTTACCTTATTTTTTTTTATAATAGCCATTCTAACAGGTATGACATAATATCTCATTGTTGTTTTGATTTACATTTTCCTGATGAGTAGTGAGGTAGAGAATCTTTTCATATACCTTTTTGTCATTTGTATGTCTTCTTTGGATGAATGTTTATTCCAATCATTTGCCAATTATTTAACTGGGATATTTGGGTTTTTGTTTTGCTTTGTTTTGTTTGCTGTTGTGTTATAGAAGTTCCTTATGTGTATTTGATATTAACCCCTTATGAGATAAATAGTTTGCAAATATTTTTTCCCATTCCATAGATTGGCCTTTCATTCTGTTTCCTTGGCTGTCGAGAAGCTTTTGAGTTTGATATAGTCCCACTTGTCTATTTTTACTTTTGGGATATTCAAAAAATAGTTTTTAGACCAATATGAGGAAGCTTTCCTCCTGTTTTCTTTTAGGAGTTTTACAGTGTCCGGTCTTATATTTAAGCCTTTAATCCACTTTGAGTTGATTTTTGTGTGTGATATGTTTAATGGCTTGGTTTATGGGGGAGGAGCTTAGCTCTTCTTGGAAGGTGTATATATACCTGGGAACAACTCACACTCACATCTTTATTAGTATTATGAGTACTTTGTACCCAGTGATTGATTCTGGACATTGGGAAGAATTACAATCCCAAATAGACGGAGCTTTTTTGGCTCTTTTGTCATAACAAAATGCCTGGACAAATGAAAATATGAAAAATTATCATTGTAAGCTCCCTGAAATATTTAGATCTCATTGTAGAACAATTACTAATGAATAAAGATACAGTTATTGAAAATGTAAATGCTAATAATGAGAAGTACTTAATCTACCACAACATAAGAGCCCAGCCCAAAAAGACCCTATTTTGGACCAAACTACCTGTTCAAAAATCGGTATTTGCATGCCCAAGACTTGTTTGAAAAGGCGATTATGGTCTCACAGGTAAATCATAAGAATTTTTAAAATTTTGTAAATGCTGTATTTATATGACAGACAGGAACCACTCTGAAGGAATCATTATGGTTTGGGAAATGATATGCAATTTCAAAATCATCTAAATCATTTCAATTGCCTGTATTTACATTTATATAATGGGTATTTATAATGGTGATTATTTTAGAACTTACCTTGTTTTCCAGGATCTCACATTGGTTTCTATGGGAACGAGAATGGCTCTGAAGAGGAGCATTTTAAGAACTCTTTTCACATTCAGTGACTGCTAACTGAACTGTAAATTCTGTTTGTCTGTTAACGGTTTTTAACATTTAGATTTTAACACAGAAATAGAAGTTGGGCATTCTAGCCTCATAAATCATTTTAAATAATAAAAACTATTTTTATGAAACATCTGGCACATTTGAAACATTTGAAAAACAAAATAACTAGCTTTAGGAGCTAATAATCTGTTCACTTTATTAAATTCATTAATGATTAATCCACATTGGCCATGTGCTTGCTCTTAGAAAATTGTGTAAAGAAGAACTTCATCAGAAATATATTGTTTTAATACACTTTCTCTGCTATTTATACATATGTGTGTGTGTGTATATATATATATATGTTTTCTTAGTTGTATAAAATCCCTTAAAGTAGTATAAAATGTTCTGCATTTAAAGTTTCTTCTCTGCTAATACCTCACTCATCCTGTGCTATTATTTGCCCTGGTATCATGTTGTACCTTGACCATGAGTTGGTACTTTATCCATGTTCTTATACCAGTTGGAACTTATTTTTACTATTTTTTGAAACAAGCTCATAAGTCTTTGAATTTCAATTTTTCTTTTTCTTGGAAGAAATTTTTAGATCATAAAAAGCCCAATGTGTAACTTATGGATTACGTTTGTTCAGTTTAAAACTGTATTTAATATTTCCTCACATTTCATGTTTTCCAATTAATTTTATTTTTTTTTAATTCCCTGGAAAAATGAAATTTCAATATATCATTATTTAATTCCTTCTCAACATAATTAAAACCCACTAAAAATAAGAGAAGCCTATTCCAGAAAAGAGTGCTAAAACTCAAAATTTTTCTTGTACCCAAACTATAAAAGATGCTAGCTGAAAGCATATGCATCCCATAACCAACTTATGTAATAGCTACTCCAGTTATTTCTGATATACGATCTATGTCTTAAATCCGAAGAGTAAAGGTTGGTGGCAGACTGCCAGGTGGGGTAGAATTAGCACTGGGTGATTTTGCCTTCCTTTTGATTGGAATGTGTTTGCTTGCTGTCAGCCTATCCCTGACGGTAGGCTGCCAGAGACTAGTGTCAGTTTGAGAAGTGGAGCTGCTAGCATCGCTGTGACTAAGGGATCATTCTGTAACTCAGGGGTCTGGTGTAAGCTCCATGGAATTAATTTTTTCTTCTTTCTTAAAAGTATTTTTCATTCAGATTTGATTTTATGATATGAATTAAGGATTGCCACACTTTGAAAAAAGGTGACGATAAATAAATGAGAAATATGTAATCAAATGTTTTGAGAGGAATGATTAATTGATTTGCTATTCTATTTTTTTAAAGTTGATTTTGAATTGAAGTACAAAAATTGAAAAGTAAAATCAAGTCTAATGTTAATCATTAGAAGAGAAAGAGTTATCTTGAAAAGTATCTGTCAGGCCTCTGAGCCTATATCTGAATCTGAAGGTGAGGCATATAATTGTCTAGCACAGAGCTACTCAAAGTGGGGTCCCTGGACCAGCGCCTATAAAAGACAACTATAGAAAGTGAGCATAAACATGTAGAAACTCTTAGAGCAGTTTGACACTGCCACTTCATCCAACCCTGTGATTTCGTATTTTATAAAAATCAGCCCATGGCATTTTTGAATTTTAAAAATTTGCCCTTTACTACAAATGGAGATGGATTGATTTAGCATAAATTACTGTAAGCAGAAAAGAGTGTCATTTGAACTTCATATATTGAGAATAATTTATCCTGTGTGATTCTGTCTGAAAGCTGGGAAGTGAGGTGTTTTTCTCTCTGAAAAATCTCTTTCTAGCCCTAGAATAGCATATTTATATTCATAAGATTACAGCAAAGGAGGCTGAAGCTGATGTTGTGCTCTCCTTTTGCAGATATAAAAACAAAAGTACAAAGGGCTTAAGTGAGATGTCTGATATTACACAATTAACATCAGAATTTAAAATCAAGTTAAGTAAACAGCATTGCACAGAACTTATTTAATATTCTGATGAGTAAAATGAAAACACCCTAGGTTGATTATGGCATCAAATTGGATATATTTGTAATTATATATGGCAGATGTCAGTGCTTTGTCTTAAGGTTTCTGATGGAAAAGCATTGTGATAGTCGTTCAATGGGTGAACAGTGAAACTATACATACTGCAAACCAAGGTGATGAGTTGGAAGGAATTCAATAACCAAAACCAAAATTAAACAAAGAGAATGAAGAAAGATTAAGGTAGGAACACATAGTTTGGTTAAAGAACTAATAGAGCAGAAATGTAAGTCCACAACTCTCTGAAAGGTATAAAATTCCAAAAGAAAAAGGGTTCACCTTGGACTGTAAATAGGAGAAATAAAATGAAAATAAGAAAGGGAAAGTTTAGACAAAACATTGGGGATTCTTGTTAATTTTCAGGAGTATTAGGTTAGTTGAGTGGGTGCCCAAAAGAATCTCTAAGGACATTTAAAACTTCATTGAACAAAGCCATGGACAGTGTATTGTGGTGAGCAAGAAGACTTAATGGCAGGGGGATGGTCTGGATCAACCATGAGGTGTTTTTCAGCTCTAATTTCTAGTATACCATAGCTCTGTGAAGAATAGTTGCTAAATTGCTTGATCAACCCAGACAAATAAAACTCAAAACAGGAATAAATTCCCAGACAAAACAATAAAGTCAGCCAAAATTGAAACACACCCCTCAGAATAACAAAGAACCCTAAATCTTGCATCATACCCCAAAGACGACAAATTCAGTTTCTGGCAGCCTGCCCAGAAGAATAAATTCCAGAGACTAGATCCTTCACTGAGTAAGCCCAACCAACAGGTTGGGAGAGTTCAACTTCTCAGACACGCAAAACCTCCCAGCAGATATTAATATTAGAGCAGACTAAAACTGAAAGGGAAAAGTGATATATTAAACAGCTTGATCTATGAGTGAACTAATTCCTGTATTCATTCTTCAAGGAGTTATTATGGAGTACCTACTATCTGCCAGCTACTATTCTGGGGTAGGGTACCTCAGTGAACCAAACACTGAAGAGATCTACCCTTGTGGAGTTTACGTTCTAGTGTGAGGAACAGTAAAGAACACGGTATGCCATATCTTCAGTAGGTGGGAAGTGCTAAGGGGAGTAGATAGCAGGCTAAGGAATATGGCGGGCAGGGTTGGGGGTGTGACAGAATGGGGGCAGATGGCTGCGTTTAATAATGCAATCAGGGTAGAACTCCTGAAGAAGGAGAGACATTTGAGCAAGACAAAGGCAGTGAGAGTAGTTAGCCAAGTGGGTACTGGGGAAAGAATATCCCAGGCAGTGAGAACTTACAGAGCACAGCAGGAATGGTGGAGCAAACCTGGTGTGTTTGAGGAATATGAAGGAATATTCTTCCCCACACTCACTCCCCTCCAGTGGAATGAAGTCAGAGAGACCTTGTAGGCCTTTACTAAGACCTTGTCTTTTATTCTGAGTAAACTACTTACATCTTGCTGTGAGACTCTTAGGACCTCAGTGAAGAAATTAATGCACTTCAGGTGCCAGCCTCCCTGGGCAACCATTCACTCACACATCAGTGGTGTTTCTTTGTGCTCCTTCAGATTGTTCAGGTCATAAGTTATAAGAATGTCAGCATCTTCCGGCAGCATGGGCCTTTAACATAAAAGTATGTCCTGTAGGTACTGCTACTGAGAATGCAGGGAAAATCGTGAATCTTATAACTCTGGATGTTTGCTTTCATTTTTTTCTTAGACCAGCAATAAAAAATTTTAAAAATTATATTTATGATCTTTGTATGATGTTTGTACATATATGAAATATGTACTCTGTCACAGAAAATAAAACCCTAAATATCAGCAATTGTATTGTGGGTTTATATTCTATGAAACCTGATCTTTACTAAGGGCTTGATAAATGTTTAAAGGTAACTAGGAGCTTAAAGTTAGAAGACAAAAATGGATCTGCTTGTGAGAAGGAATGACAATATTAAAAGAATATTTTGATGTTTTTGGATATTTGAAAATATTCGAAAATTAAAGGCTAAGTTAGAAAAACACTGTTAATGTTTATTCATGATTTGAAAAAAAGTGTGTTGAGTACCTGCCGTGTGCCAGGCACATTTTCTAGACCCTATGGATACAACAGTGAGCAACACATAAGAGCCTGAAATCTAATACGTTCCTCTATGAAGATTCTCTTCAGGCAGTTTACCAGTTCTATTACAACAATGTGTAGCTGAGGTGGTGGGTCAATAGGAGACTCGTCTGCAAGCCAGCATCACCTGTTATGATGGGACATGGCTAGGAAATGATACTTCATGACCTGTCCCCATCTGGTGATCTACTCTTTGGAAATCCTCAGGCAGAGACTACATCTCTGAATGTTCAGGAACTTGGGACTTGGCTCCAAGTCTTTGCTATTGTGAGTAGTGCTGCAATAAACATACGTGTGCATGTGTCTTTATAGTAGAATGATTTATAATCCTTTGGGTATATACCCAGTAATGCGATTGCTGGGTCAAATGGTATTTGTAGTTCTAGATCCCTGAGGAATCGCCACACTCTCTTCCACAATGGTTGAACTAATTTACACTCCCACCAACAGTGTAAAAGTGTTCCTATTTCTCCACATACTCTCCAGCATCTGTTGTTTCCTGACTTTTAAATGATCACCATTCTAACTGGAGTGAGATGGTATCTCACTGTGGTTTTGATTTGCATTTCACTAATGACCAGAGATGATGAGCTGGATAAAGAAAATGTGGCACATATACACTATGGAATACTATGCAGCCATAAAAAAGAATGAGTTCATGTCCTTTGCAGGGACATGGATGAAGCTGGAAAACATCATTCTCAGCAAACTAACACAGGAACAGAAAACCAAACACCACATGTTCTCACTCATAAGAGGAAGTTGAACAATGAGAACATATGGGCACAGGGAGGGGAACATCACACACCGGGACCTGTCGGGGGGTGGGGAGCAAAGAGAGGGATAGCATTAGGAGAAATACCTGATGTAGATGATGGGTTGATGGGTGCAGCAAACCACCATGGCACATGTATACCTATGTAATAAACCTGAACATTCTGCACATGTATCCCAAAACTTAAAGTATAAAAAATAATAATAAAAAAAGAAAGGGAAGAGAGCATGGTATTTGAGTTACAGTTGTGTTGTCTAATATAGAAGCCACTAGCTACATATGGCTGTTAAGCTAGTGAAATGTGGCTATTCCAAATAGAGAAGTACTCTAAGTATAAAATACACTGGATTTTGATGACTTGGTGTGAAAAAGAGAATATAATTTTTTTTAGATATTTTACATTGATTGCATGTTGAAATTATACTTTTGATGTATTGGGTTAAATAAAGTATACTATTAGATGAATTTCTCTTTGTTAAACTTTAAAAAAATGTGCCTACTAGAAAAAATATACCTACATTTATGTGGTTGACATTCTGCTGAGTCAGACATCTGCCTTTGATTCCCCGATCAGCTCAGTACTGTTGCATAATAATGGCTAACACTTGGAGTACTCATTAAGTGGCAAGTCCTCTCCTAAGCACGTTACCTATGCTAAAACATTTCATCCTTACAAACAACCCTGTGAGGAATCGTTTTTCCAGATGAATAATTTGAGACACAGAACGGTCAAGAAACTTGCCAAAGGCTACAGATCTGGTGAGTAGAAGAGCAATTAGGCTTTTAAAGCTGTAACTAATCCAGTGGCTCTCAAACCTACATGTACATCACAGTCACCTGCAGGGCTCTTTAAAACACAAATCTCTGAGCCCCCAGGGGTTTTGACTCGGTAGATGGGGCATAACCTGAGACTGTGCATCTCTACCAAATTGTCAGGTGATGTTGATGCTGCTGACTCGAGGACCACATTTTGAGAACTGTTGGCCTAATCAGTTTACTACACCACCCCTCTCCAACCTTAATAAAGTCCTCAGCCTTTCTGAATCATAACTGTAGTTCTTACATTTACCTCATATGCTGTAAAATTCACCATTTTAAGGTGCACAACTCAGTGTTTTTTACTATCTTCACAGCTCTGCAACTACCATCATTAATTCCAGAACATTTCCATCACTCCAAAAAGAAACTCAATACCCATTAGCAATCACTGCTGACTCCTGTCTCCCCCAACCCAGGAAACAACTAATCTATTTTCTTTCTCTATTGATTTGCCTATTTTGGACTTTTCATATAGATGGAGTCATATAACGTGGCTTTTTGTGTCTGACTTCTTTTCCTAGCATCATGTGTTCAAGGTTCATCCATACTGTAGTGTATATCAATACTTCATTTTTTGACTGAATAATATACACTTGCATGGGCATACCTTATCAGTTGATGCACATTTTGGGTAGCGTACATTTTTGGCTATTATGAATTTCTATGAACATATATAGGTTATAAGTATGACAGGGTCCAGTAGGAGTGGAAATGCTGGCTTTTATGGTAACTATGTTTAACTTTTTGAGGAACTGCCAAACTGTTATCAAAGTGCTGCTCCATTGTATATCCCCATCAGAAATGTATGAGAGTTCCAGTTTTTCCACAACCTTAGCAGTACTTGCCATTGCTCATCTTTTTATCATAGCTATCCTAGTGGGTGTGAAGTAGTATTTTACTGTGGTTTTGATTTGCATTTTCCTAATTTCTAATTGTGCATTGTTTTATGTGCTTATTGGACATTTGTGTATCTTGTTTGAAAAGATGTCTATTGAAAGCCTTTGCTCTTTTTTTTTTTCAAGAGACAAGATCTCACTCAGTCACCCAGGCTGGAGTGCAGTGGCACAATCACGGCTCACTGCAGCCTTGATCTGGGCTCAAGCCATCCTCCTGCCTCAGCTGAGTGGCTGGGACTACAAGGATGTGCCATCATATCCTAATTTTTAAATTTTTTTGTAGAGACTGGGTCTTGCTATATTTCCCAGAATGGTCTCAAGCTCCTGGCCTCAAGGGATCCTCCCATTTTGGCCTCCCAAAGTGCTGGGATTACAGGTGTGATCTACCACACCTAGCTTCATTTTTAAATTGGGTTATTTATCTTTTTATTGTTGAGTTATAAGAGTTCTTTATATATGCATACAGGTCCTTTACCAGATGTATGATTTGCAAATCATTTCTTCTATTCTGTGGGTTGCCTTTTTGCTGTCTTGATGGTGTCCATTGAGGCAGAATGTTTTTAATGTTTATGAAGTCCAATTTATCTAATTTTTCTTTTATGACTTGTGTTCTTGGGTCATATCTAGAAACCAATGACTAATCCAACGTCATGAAGATTTACTCCTATGCTTTCTTCTGTGAAATCGTAATCCTTACATCTAAGTCTGTGATCTATTTTGAATTAATTTTTCTGTGTGGTGTGAGATATGAATCCAACTCCATTCTTTTTCATGTGGCTATCCACTTATCTCAGCACTATTTGTTGATCACAGGTTCCTTTTATAATTTAAGAATGTTTTATAGTCTGCATTAATTATAATATTTTTATTAATATTAATTACAATATGTTTTTTTCCTCTCTAGGTGCTTGCCTGCTATGCTGTCAAAGCTTTGTGAGCACTGTAATTAGAACAAAATGGATGTCCTTGGAATTAAAACCCCAAGTCAGTAATGATTGACCACAAAGTAGACTTGTTCAATTGCACCCCATCATTCACTGTTATATAATACCAAGTACCAAGATTCTTACCATTATTATGTCATCCTATATTAATTCTTTCATTCACACATATAGGATGAAAAACAAAGGAATGTTTATCCTATATAATGTTCCTTTATGATTTTTGTAATACCATTTTACTGTTGTTTATGCCTATAGCACCCATTCGACTGATGTTATAAATACAAATTTGAAATGTGGTGAGTTGCTTCCATATACTGTTGTAGTAATTGAATATAGAGAACAGACCAAAATCAGATGAATGCTAGAAAACAAACAAAAATGGGGGAAAAGAGGCAAGCTCTACCTAATTGGGACTGATAGCAATTAGTACATTATATATACATGGATGCTTCCTTTTCATAAGTCAGATAAATGGAATGTAAAACACAATGCAGATGCTGTCCAAATATTGTGAGAGGGTTGCAATGAAAGGTGAAAATGTAGAATCTGAAAGGCATCAGTGCATATGGCATCCAGAAAAATGAGAATAACGTAAGATTTTTTTGGTATTTCTCCAAACTAATAGTGCCCAGACTTGTGACAGGAATATTTAGGTTCTTGGTTAGGTATAACTCTGAGGTGCCATAATTTTATAAAAGGAAATTTCAGCAAGCTGTCAACCTAAAAACATTCTCTTTCCTTTATTTCCTGGCTCAATTGTCATTTAACCCACTGCTGTCCTTAGCTCATTTCTGAAGTAGATATCTAGAGAAAAAAAATTAACTCTCCATGTGTAAATACTTTGCATTGTAAATTAATAAACTTTTCCGGTGACTTTATGGAACATAGGCCTAAATTCAGTTAGATGAGCTTCTGGATCTGAGGACTGAGTGAGGAAGGAAATCCTGGACTAGGGTTGAGTCCAAGCAACATTGCTGAGTAAAGTGATAATGACATTAGAAACCAAGCCACAGGGCCTTGTAAACGTGCTTCAGACTCACATTTATATTCAATAAAATTATGGTTATTCTCATGAGTCAAATGATAGAAAGAAAATGTGAAGTCAGATTCTCCTTTTTCAGTATATTGATTGAAGAACTCCTTGATACTCAGATAATTCTGGATAGGGATATAATTATTCCAACAATATGTTTATGGGGACTGACTTCTGTATTGTGAAAATGCCCACCAAATTTGGTAACACATACCTGAAAGTTCCTGAAACACAAATATTATTCACAAATAGGAACTCAATATTTCATCTTATTATTTATTCTGAACTTCACTCTTATAAAAAAGCCAAAGGGTGTCATCCCTTTTCAGGCTAGGGACTAAGGAGTTTTATTTTACATAATTTAGTAGGCTTTTACAATTCTCCTCATGCTTCTTATATCCTTTTCTGGTGTCAGCATTCTTATAGTACTTAGTCTAAACTTCTAAAGCAGAAATGGTGTGCGTGTCAATATAGTTAGCAAGAAATTAGGGAATATATTATCCACTCAAAGCAAGTCTTGGAGATGAGGAGAGAAAGAAATCTCTAGAGATACATGCAGTAGGGGCAGTCTTGAAGAGAAAAGGAATTCAGACTATGGAATTTGTCTTACAACTTTCAAGTCACATAGTATTAGAAATTAAGCCACAGAGCCTGGTGATACTATGTTTCATAAAATTCTTACCAGTAGTTACCACGTGTCCTAAGTCTTCATCACCGTGAGTTCCTGGGGCCTACATGAAGGAAGAACAAAAGCCCTTATAAATTACCTTGGGCCAGAGACTAGACCCAGCAGGTTCCATAGAAGAATAGCCTGCCCATTTCCTGTTGCTCTCATTGGGTGAGATTCTCTTGAATTAAGCACCAATAGCAGAAACCAAAAGAAAAACAACATCACAGATGTGATGACCATACTGCACCCAGCCTGCCTAGTTTCTGGCATAGACCGCACCAGCTCTCCTTTCAGAACCTGCAGTCACCCTCACTGTCTTATGCCTCCTTCTGATTATATGTGGGGTAGCTTCTGCACATAAACCTCTGACTGATTAAACTCTACCCCACATCACCTGAAGAGATCAAGCAATGCTGTGTCAATGCTAAGGGCTCAGGGATGGTGAGCAGAGGCAAAGCATGCACAAGTAGGAAAGCCACCACCTAGGTTCTTATGAAAAGCATGCATTTTTAGGATATTAGAAAAGCAAGCTGTAGTTAGCTTAATTCTGAATTCTGGGGCTAATTCCAAGCAAACAGAAACTCCCCATGTCCTGGGCAAAGCAAGTCTGTGCGTGTGGTGGCCTTTACGTCTTCTTCCTAGGTAATCACTTCTCTCACCTTAGGATAGTGTGGCCAGGTTGCCAAGCACATTTTCCCTTGCATGGAGGGGGCTGATTCATGAAACAGTGACTTGCACAGGTGGGTCACAGTGTGTCCTGGATTACACGAACTAGCCAAGAGCCAGGGTGTGGGCTGTCTATGCGATTCTGCCCCCAACTTGTGTCAGCATGTCCTGGCATTTAAGTAAAGTTTAAGTGTGTGCTCATTTGTGTGAAGAAAAATTCAACAAAGGAATACAATCATTATAGGCCTCTGTATTGACAGGAAAGTCAAACCTGGTCAGCATTTGAAATGACTTAAAATTGATTATTTTAAAAAGCTCTGTGATTAGAATGTTAGCCCAAAAGTAATCCTTTTTATGTACTATTTATCTGTTTCATTTCATTAAACTTTATAAGCCTCCCACAAGGTAGAGTTTTATCTGTTTTACAGATGTAATCCGACTTGAAAAATACCATAATTAATCAATAACAACGCTAAAGAAAAACAGCCCCAAGTTTCTTAATCTTTATTTATGAGGGCAAGATGGGACAAGGCTAAATTGCTACACTTTACCCTGATAAACACATTTCATGTGACTTTTTTCTTTTCTTTCTTTTCTTTCTTCTTCTTCTTTTTTTTTTTTTTTTGAGACAAAGTCTCACTCTGTCGCCCAGGCTGGAGTGCAGTGATGCAATTTTGGCTCACTGCAACCTCCGCCTCCCGGGTTCAAGCGATTCTTGTGCCTCAGCCTCCTGAGTAGCTAGGATTACAGGTGCCTGTCACCATGCCCAGCTAATTTTAGTATTTTTAGTAGAGATGGGGTTTCACCATGTTGACCCAGCTGGTCTCAAACTCCTAACCTCAGGTGATCCACCTGCCTTGGCTTCCCAAAGTGCTGGGATTACAGGCGTGAGCCACCACGCCTGGCCTTATGTGAATTTTTAAAAATGCTATCTTGCTCTGTCCTTCAGATCTTTGAAGAAGCATGAGAACACAGAAAGGAGAATACATATTTTAGAATTTTTTTGAAGCAAAATCCTATCTATGTGCTCTTTTGTTTTATTCTTAAACTTACAGCAGTTTTAGATTTTTTTAAAAAATTATGAAGATAGTATGGAGACTCCCATATACTACATATCTAGTCTTCCACAATTAATGAAACAATATTATGATATATATTATTATTAAAGTTAATATTTTATTCAAATTTTCTTAATTTTTACCTAACATTTTTACCTTTTTCTGTTCCAGCTTCCCATCCAGGATAGCACATCACATATAGTCATCATGTCTCCTTAGGCTTCCCTTGACTATTGCAATTTCTCAGATTCTCTTGGTTTTTGATGACTGGTTTTGAGGAATACTTGGATTTTGCAGAATATCCCTCTATTGATATCTTTCTGATGTTTTCTCATAGTTATACTGGGTTTATGTGTTTGGGGAGTAGGACCACTGAGGTCAAGTGCCATTTTCATCACATTATATCAAGGGTACTTTCAACATGACTTATTACTTTTGATGTTGACCTTGATCATCTGACTATGGTAGTTTGTTTGTCAGTTACATGCTCTTTTGAAATTTTATTTAATTACGTAGAATGATCTCTTCATTAAAAGATTTATTAAGTTTAATTTTAAATATGATGTAGCCAAGCAGTAGTAGCATTAGAACTAGCTATCAGTTGCACAGGTTACAATACATAGGAGATGACATTGCATATTTAGAGAGTGACAGGAAAAGGAATTACACACCAGGAAAACTGGTTTCGTGAGTCTTAAAGTGCATCATCTGTACAAGTCCTATGGAGAAGGTTAATACTACAAGCTCTTCCTTAGCATATTTTACTTTGCAAAACATGTTGCAATATCACTCTAGTTATTTTTTTTCAACATTCCTATGAAGAAGCAAAGCAGAGCTGCCTTCCTTTACTTTCAGTGGCAGGCTTTGTAGTCAGAGATACTTGTGTTTGGTTTTGAGCTTAGCCCCACTTTCTATCTGAATCACCCTTGGAAAAAATTTCTGGGAGCACCTAGTCTATAAAATAGGCATAATAATACAAACCTTGTAGGAAAAGAATACATAGACTGTTTCAACCAAGCATCTCAGATACATACGAGACATTCAATAAATCTTCGTTCCATTTCTCTCCTTCTTTCTCATCCTCACTTCCCCTTGTCCAAATCTCCAAACTTATAAATAAACACTTCAGGATCTGGGCATTATAAGGATGCATATTAGTATTAAAACTGACCATCAATTTTAATCAATCATGTAAATTTCAGCAAATGTAAAACAGCTTCAGACTAATGCTATGGAAATCTTATGGGAGTGGACTAACACAGTTGCTACCCAGATGTCAGTAGAATCCTAGCACCATAGTCCTGAGAACCATGATTTCCAGTAGTACATTTAATCATAATTCTAGATCTCCCATGTTCTACTTACAGTTTCTCACTTCCTTAAGAATCCAATAAAAAAAATGAAATTATAAGGCTTCAATCACAATATTTGAATATTGATTGTTAACATTGTTACATTGTTAGGGCTACCCTAATGTGATATCTTGGTGATCCTCAATAATGTGAACTTACATGTAGAGAGGTTGCATCATGTGTACATGTAACTGATAAAAAGGCACCGAAAATAAGGCAACTATACATACTCAGGACAAAAATAAATATACCGAGAGAAAGGGATGGAGAAACAGTGGTTGTATCTGTCATTGTCTTCACTGAGTGTAAGCCTTAGAGTAAGCATGAGATGGAACCATGAACACATTCTTCCCTTAGGCTGCCTCATTTCTTTTATACCTCTCATAATTCTGGAGTCTTGGCATACCTAGTGTGATTCTAGTTTTTAAAGGTATGTATTTTTCACATAACAAGGTCCCTAGATGTAAGCCACCTCCTTCATCTGGCTACTATATTAAAGAAATCAAAATAGGATCCAAAGATGAAGGGAAAGTCTGTGTTGGAACTGTTGTCTCCAGTGTGGGGCCCCTGAAGGTATTAGTATTTTAATGGCCAATTTGGACACAGTAGTCCCCTCTTATCCATGGGAATATGTTCCAAGACCCCCGGTACATGCCTGAAACCACAGATAGTACTGAACCCTAGATTACTATGACTTCTCCTGTGTATACATGCCTATGATAAAGTTTAATTTATAAATTAGGCAGAGTAAGAGATTAACAACAATAACTAATAATAAGATAGAACAATTTTAACAACAGACTGTAACAAAAGTAAAATAAGCACAAGCACTGTGATACCACCACAGTCAGTCTCATCACCAAGACTGTTACTAAGCGACTGACATGTGGGTAGTGTAGACAGCGTGGATAAATCGAGGTGGGAGGGAGCATGAGAGAGAGAGATTTCATCAAACTATTCAGAACAATGTTTAATTTAAAGCATAAGAATTGTTTATTTCTGGGATATTCCATTTAATACTGCAGGTAATTGAAGCCATGAAAAGCAGGCCGGGCGCGGTGGCTCACGCCTGTAATCCCAGCACTTTGGGAGGCCGAGGCGGGCGGATCACGAGGTCAGGAGATCGAGACCATCCCAGCTAAAACGGTGAAACCCCATCTCTACTAAAAATACAAAAAATTAGCCGGGCGTAGTGGCGGGCGCCTGTAGTCCCAGCTACTTGGGAGGCTGAGGCAGGAGAATGGCGTGAACCCGGGAGGCGGAGCTTGCAGTGAGCCGAGATCCCGCCACTGCACTCCAGCCTGGGCGACAAAGCGAGACTCCGTATCAAAAAAAAAAAAAAAAAAAAAAAGAAAAGCAAAAACTGAGAATAAGAGGTCACTACTGTAATTGTACTTTTTACCTTAGAAACTAGTCCCTGTATAACTCCATTATTTCTTAAACTAATTTATATTTGAATACAAAATTATTCATAATATGATTTTTCAGGGGAGGTGTCGTTCGATAAGAAAATATCTAGCTGAATTGAAGCAGACCCTGTAGCCCATTTGGTTACAAGTACCCAGGTAGCAAACACTGATTTGCCCTGCCTGGACCTGCTCCATTCCCTCCCCACTTGTCATGGGGCACACAACTTAGTGCATTAGACTTGTGCACCCCTAGATCTGGTTCTAAGCGCTTTACTGACAAGGCTAAGGTGGAAGTAGCAGCACCATCCTGATTCTAAGCCTTCACCCCAGACCCAAAATGAGCTCCAGGAGAGCTCTCGGGACCCTACCTTTATTTGTTTCTTTTCTTTTTTTTTTTTTTTTTTTTTTTTTGAGACGGAGTCTCACTCTATCGCCCAGGCTGGAGTGCAGCGGTGCAATCTTGGCTCACTGCAACCTCCACAGCTGGGACTACAGGTGTATGCCACCATGCCCGGCTAATTTTTGTATTTTTAGTAGAGACGGGGTTTCGCCACGTTGGCCAGGCTGGTCTTGAACTCCCGACATCAGGTGATCCACCCACCTTGGCCTCCCAAAGTGCTGGGATTACAGGCATGAGCCACTGCACCCAGCCCCCTACCTTTCTTTTCCTCCTGCATTAATGTGAGGAAGGTTGATGTGAACAGATCTTCGCTCTACTTGGAGTCTGAGAATGATAGATAATTCTCTGGAAGTTATGTGGGATGGGTAGAGAAGAATTATTCCCTTCTGCCATGCATGAATAAGTGGTTGTGTTCTCCCTCTTCTTGACCCCAGGAAAGGCTGAACCCAGAAATGGTGATGGAGAAAGAGCTCAGAGCTCATTCCTACCTTGTCTTAATTCATATCTTCTTGTCCCAGGCTAGTACATAAATGGGATACCCAGTTAGGTGTTTGTGATAGGACCAGAGGAGGAAATGGCCACATGTACAACAGCATACAAAGGGGTAATATGAAGTAAACTGAGTGGGGAGGCATTGGCTACTTCCCATTCATAAGAGCCAGGAATTCCATGGCTTTTCTACATCCATGAGCATGCTTGTTCTCATGCCCATGTTCTTTTTTTTTTTTAAAGAAAAATTTATTTCTTAACATAAGCTCCATCCATTTGAAAAGGCTGTGTTTCTGCTCATTTCTCTTATCAAACAATAAATTTTGTGACCATTTTGATGGGAAATCATCAGGCATCCACCCTAGAATCCTGACTTGGCTCCCTCAACTTCCCCTTAACCTCCAATCTTAAAAAATCCCCCAAAAGGCCATCAATTTCAAGACACCATTGTAAATGTTGATACTGGTCATTCAGTCCAATCCTAAATACCAAGGGTCCTGGAAATGGATCTATGTGAATGCAGTCTCTTTTACATTATTAACTAAAGATAAAAAGACCCCATTTAAAGATTTTTTAAAAATTAGAAAACAAAAAGAAGCCAAAATGAATCAAATCGAGGCTTTTAGGTGGATGCCCAACAATTTTCCATCCAAATGCCCACAAAATTCCTTGTCCAATGAGAGGAATTAGCAGGAATATCATGCCTATATTCTTTATGGTACAAGAGAAAATACAAAACAGATATTCTCCTAGGGTCTTGTGGTGTGGTAGAGATACTCAAGCCCCAAAAGTAACCATCTTACTGTCTCCAGTCAGGTGAATGACATTTCAAGAGCTCAGGATTAGGAGTCAGAAGACTCAGGTGCATATTCTGCATCTGTCACTTTCCGCTGTGTGGTGCTGAGCAGGTTTCTAACTTCTCTTTGCCTTGGTGTAGCCATCTACAAAATGACTATAATGCGGCAGATTAAATGAAAGCATCTAGCATATTGGCGATTTTAGTTAAATCTGATTTTTTTTTTTTTTTTTTTTGAGACAGGATCTCACTCTGTCACTCAGGCTGAGTGTAGTGGTGCAATCACAGCTCACTGCAGCCTCAAATTCCTGAGCTGAAGAGATCTTCCCACCTTAGCCTCCTGAGTAGCTAGGTCTACAGACTCACACCACATTCCCGACTATAAATCTGAATTTTAATCAACTTTGTGGAAGCTAATAATCTATTTGCCTCTGGAATAACTGACAGAAAGCTACGGAGCATTCTTAGCTCTACACTTTTGTTGAAGGAACTGGGCTCATAATGTCATAGAAGGCAATTATTTTCACATTTTGTTCAAGGCTAGTTCCCAAATCAATTCAGTTATTTTAGGCAAGAATGTTTTCAAAAGGCCTAAGTGATATTATTAACAAATGGGTTATACCTTCTCTTCACAGAGTTAAGCCTCTAATTATACGTTAAGCTGATTTATTAGTACTGCAGGCTTAAACATTTCCTAACTATTAGGACTGACTAGAGACACAGGTTAACTCTCCACATGCAATGAATCTGAATGGCAAAAACACTGCAGAGGAAGACGTGATGCATGGTGGATGAGTCACAAGGAAAGGCTCAGAGAAGGTATTAATTAGGGTAATAGGACATTATAACAGGTAAAATATGGGTTAAGTGTCAGTGAATTTCCCCTAAGGACATACTTCCTATGATAGTAGGGAAGAGTCTTCTAATGGAGGTGATTAAAGCCTCCAAGCTTAAGACCTTTAAAACTAGACTGAACAGAGTCCTTATGAACATACTAGAAAGAAGAATTCTACCCTGATTGGGGTAGTGGTAGGTAATCTAATAGCCTTTTGCACTGCTAAGGGCCTTGATCGCTGAGCTACCCAGTAATTGCATACATTGCAAACCATCAAGTAAGTACACAGTTCTCTCACTTAAGAATGTAGCTCTTATTTCTCTGGGCACTGCTTTCTTTGGGGGCAAACTTCCAGTATCACTGATACTAATATAAAAACCCTGTAAGTCTGCTTGCATTTTCAAGATCCAATATATATCCAGATTGTTTTCCCAGCAAAGAAAATTTTATTTCTCAAGATATAAAAAATAAATATTTAATTTCAGTTTCCTCAAAAGGAATATGAAATTTGTTAAAATGCAAATCCAGCTGTAACTTTTTTGGACTTGTCTTTTATTTCTTGCTTAGTAAAAGCACTATTAGTTTGGCATCATCAAATGAGTAGGGATGAGCTGCATCTCTCAGGAACCCCACCAATGGATGTGGTGGAATGAGAAATTGTTGCAACCATCACTATTCTAAATCCAGTAAAGGGAGTTCAGAGACCCATGATCTTATCTTCAGTGACTTTGTGACCCACCTGTAAGAACTACAACCTGGTTGATCTGGATCTCAGATAACACTGGACCATAGCACTCCTCCTAGGCCCATTCTGATTTGAGCCTACTTCCACTCACAGGCAGGATAGGTGGCCACCAATGTAGAGTGATTTCAGGGGTGCCAGAAGATCCTCCTTACTTGCCTGCTTGGTGATATCAGAAAGCAGTCTCATTCTTTAAGGAGTGTTAACGTGTGACACGCCCCCATCCCCCATCATCTACCTGTTCATCCTGTCCTGCCCTCCTCTTCACTTCTCCCCACCTTCCTTTAGGCTCCCTGAATTAGTTGCACCACTATTTACTTTGCCTCTACCACAAACTTGGCAAAACCTTGACACTTTTCTCTCTCATAGCCTTATTTCATTTAATAGCCAAGTCCTGTTAAATCCACTTCCAATGCCTCTGAAATCTGCTTTTCTCCACTACCTTAGTATGATCCACATTTATATTTCTCCTGGATTATTACAACAGCCTTCTGAACTGGTCTTCTTGCTTCTCCTCTTGACTCCCTTCACTCTATTGTTTAAAAGTGATCTTTTAAAATACTATCAGATCATGTCACGCCCATGCTTAAACATACTAATTTACTACTCTCCTGCCCTCAATGTGAGTTTCAGATTCCTTAGAAAAGGCTTTCTTCTCCAGCCTTATGTCCCCATCTCTGTCTCACACTGAATTCTCCAGCCATTCTGAATTATGGGCAGCTCTCCAAACATGCTGCCTCTTTCTTGCCTTAGTTCCTTCTACCCGAATGGTTCTCACTAATCCCTTCTCACCTGATCAGCTCTTCTTCATCACACAGGTTTTGGCATAGAGAACTTATGCTTCAAATATCTTTTCATAGTCCACTAAGGATTAAACCACTCCTGTGTACTTTATGTTCATCCCTATGCAGCATGACCATGCCATAATTTCTCCCAAGAGATTGTCAGCTAGCACGTGGTCACAGACTGGGGTCCTTTTCACTGTGTTACCTCCAACATTTAGTACAATGCTGGCACCTAGTAAGTACTAAATAAAACTTTGTTGAATGAATAAACAAACACAAGTCTTCTCTGGGAGAAGTAACATGTTGATTCACTAGCATAAAAAAGAGATAAGTTAGGAAAAATTACCTAGGGAAATTCTGTGGAGGAGATGTAATTAGGCTGGGGAGAGAAGGGAGTATGTGGGGCAAGAGGAACTGTCTGAACAACACTACCAAGATGAGAATTGATGAAGAATGTTCATGAAACACTGAAGAGTCTGGCTTGATTAGAAAGGAGGATGTATGTTTAGGAAATGGAGACAGGTCAAATGATGAAGGGTTTTAAAAGACAGAAAAAATACTTTAGATATAGTGTAGTTAGAAATAGCGACCCATACATGATTTTAGAACAGATGTGTGACATGATAAAAGTGGTGTTTATGGAAGATTAATCTGGGAATTGTATAAAGGAAACATTGGACAAGGATGCTATTATAGTCATCACAAGCAGCTAAAAGATTGTTGTGCTGTAATACATGAATAAGAGGATGTAATAGGTTAAATTACTGTTCCAAATATTCACTCCCTTTTTCTCTCACCCTGTGCCTTCCACATCTTTGCTCTGAACTTGACCATGTGACTTGCTTTGGCTATTAGAATGGTAGTGGACATAATGTGAACAAAACTTGAGAAGCACTTGCGTGATTGAGCTTGCTTCTGTGATCACCAAGAAGAGAACATGCCTTGGCTACCCGGCAAAGAGAACTGAGGAGCAGATGAGCACCAGCTAAGCCCAACCTATATCAGCTAACCCCCAGCCAGCCACAAACACATGATTAATACTAAATCATTGTTTTATGATTGAGTTTTGGGTATTTTATTATACAGCAATAGTAACTCATACAGGGGATAAGGATGTGATCCTGGCATAGAAACCAAAGAGAGAATGAATCTGAGACATTGTTTGAAGGACAAATTCACAGTTCTTTGGTAATAACAGACACTGAGATTGAAAGAGAGAGATAGTTCAAAATTTAGTTCCAAGTTTTTAAACCTGAAGTGAGCGAAGAGTGGTGACATTTCCATGACAGTGAAAATGAGAAACTGAATTTTGGACTTGCTAAATTTGAAGTGCTGGTGGAAGATACGACAGAAAGGCATAGTATGAAATTAGAGCTAAGGAGAGGGAACATGAATTAGAGGACAGGAGAGGATGTTTTAAGTCATGATTTGTTGTGGATTGAATTGTGTTTCTCCCAAATTCATATGTTGGGTTCTAACCTTCAATGTGACTGTATTTGGAAATAGAACATTTAGGAGGTAAAGTTAAATGGGGTAACAAGGGTGGTCTTAATCTGACAGGGTTGGTGGCCTTCTAAGACGAGGAAGAGACACCAGAGTGCGCACTCTGTCCACACACATACACACCCTGAGGAAAAGGCCATGTGAGGACACAGTGAGATGGTGATGGTTTGCAAGCCAGGAAGCCCTCTCCTCGACCCTGCTGGCACCCTGATTTCAGACTTCCAAACTTCAGAGCTGTGAGAAAATAATCATGTGTTGGTTATACCACCCAGTCTATGGTATTTTGTTGTGGCAGCTTGAGATGACTAATAGCACTCTAGGGAAATCCTGAAGCACAGTAGACAGGAAGAAGAGCAGAAAGCCAAGGATGGGGCCAGAAAATGCCTAAAAGTAAGGGGGTCAGGGAAGAGGATCCAGAGGAAAATGGGGTTATAAATGTAAAGGGGTAAAAGCACATTGTGAGAAGTGGTATCAATGTGGTAAGCAGAGCATGGGCTTAGAGTCAGTAGGACCTAGGATTGAATCTTCCTCTACTACTTGGGAACCTTGAGCAATTACTTAACCTCTCTCGACCCCACTACTTTATTTTTTAAATGGAGATAATAATGGTCCTTACTTTAGGTGGGCATTTGAAAAATACAAAGATTAATGCATGTAAAGTGCTTAATATTGTGCATGACGCAATATTAACTATAGTGAACTCTTACTAAATGGCAGTTATCTTTTCCAGAAGTACAGTGTGTGGTCAATAGTATCAAATATTACAGATAGATAAGTGTAAAAGAGGATGACATACTTGCCATTAGATTCTATCACAGAGGAATCTTTAGTGACCTTTGAGTGTTTCAGTACTGTGGGCTTAAGACTGCCCGTATATGTGAAGGTGAAGGTGTGGGAAAGGAGGAGGAAAGGAAACTAGTTTGCAGAAAATAAGGAGGTTGTAGGCAAAGTAGAAATGAAAGTGATGTAAGTGCACCAGTTAGAGTTTAGAAATGAGGCTGCATTCCAATAAAAATGCAGTGGAATAAAAGCCAGAAGGGACAACTGAGTTAACTAAATTTGGGGTAGGGCTGTTTTGTCGAGAAGGGGAAGACATAGGTATATATGATGGCAAAAAAGAAAGATCGATCAATATATTGTTATTACCAAGCTGCTCATAAATCTTTGGATTCTAATTCTGGGTAACTCTAGGAAAAATTGCTACCATTAGCATTAACAATTCCTAGTGTTTATTCCATCTTGACAGACAATTCCTTGATCTACTGTCTGCCTCCTGGAGCTGTCCCTGCTATTTGGTACATTTTGAAGCACAGGGAGAGTTGCATTATGTGTTGTAGATGGATGATTCTGTTTTCCCTGCTGACCATGGAAGAATCTAGATGGAGGGTGCAGAGTGATACCAGGCAGAGGTCTTATAAGAAACCAGGATTATTGGCCCCTCTTTATTCCCATTTTAAATTTATTTGTTGGACCAGAGGTTCTAAACCATTTTCTTTATTGAATACATTGGGAATATCTGAACAAGAAAATTTGAAGTAAATGAATAACAGTAGTATTCCTAAGAAGCACTTACTTAGATATACTCTTTCCCTTTTGGGGTAAATTTATTTTTCTATTCATTGTGCATGCTGCTTTGAGCATTTGCCCCTTATTTGGTGAAATCCTCCTTTTGGAAAGTGTACCGTCAGTTATTATCTACTCACAAAGGAGGGAGGATGATGTCATTGAAAACCATTTATACTTGTGGATTTACATAAATGCAGAATGCAAATAAAATAACATTTTCTGAATAGTTCCCTGTACATTTTCACTTAGGAAGAAAATAAAAATTGTAGATTTCTGTTATTTTTTTCTTCTGTAGACTAGAGATAATTTGGAGTAACTAATCTGAGTGTCTTTACTCAATTATTTGGCTTGCTTCTTGCAAGAGGCACATTAATGATAGAAATTGGAGGGGTCATTATAATTAGAAGAGCAAAGAAGAACCATAGAGTGCTTTGCTTGTAAGAATCACCTTTTGTTGTTGGAAAAATTGCATTGTAACATTTTAATTTCAGAGTCAAATCAGTCATCCTTGTTTAGATATAATCCTCTGACCATGTAGGATAGTGTTTCTCTCTGCCCTTCCACCGAACTTCCTGCTGCAAATCTGCTTTCACTTGCACCCCACTGTGTGGATTCACAGTGCTGTGAGCAAACAGCTTCTGATTATTTTACATGCAGAGAGTGAGGGAGAGAGTCAAAGAGGGAGAGAGAGAAGAAGGAAAGAAAGAAGGAATGAATGAAAAATTCTTTATAGGGTTACTATAGGCCCACAAATATGTCTGAGGTATATGATTTGGTCAAGGCCCATCAGGCTGTTTTGCCCTAGCTATGCTCCTTCTAAAAGATACATATCTTGGCACAAAATTGCTACCTTAAGATTGTGAAATACTGCTTCTGCCATTGTAGGACTAAACTTTCTGGATGAAACACTCAGCCTGAGCATATTTCTGCGCAAACATGTTTTCTTAGGCACATTTTATAAGTGAGGACTGGGGTGCAGTTAGGAGTTCCCAGAAAGTACATCACTGGCCCTGTCAAGAACTAGCTCTACATCCTGACTTCCCCCTAATCAGCTCCCGAAAATGCCAAAAGGGAGGGGGAAAGGTGGATGAATGTGAGAACCCGACATGAAAACTGTGAGAAGCTCCTGGGGTGACAGAGGGAGTTAGGCTGGATGTGAGAGTGCAGCCCAGAGCAGAGGGCCCTCCTGTGTTCTGCATCAGAGCCACCTGGGAAGAGCTTGCTAGCTTCGGTGGAAAGCAATAGAAACATACATGCAAGACCAGCCCTCAAACCTTCTTTCCTCCTTCTCCCCTTCTGTTTTCAATATGCCATGGGATAGGTGATTACAATTCAGAGAGGTAGCTTTTGACAAAGAGCAGTTTCATTGGCCAAGCTATTGGAAGATTTTGTGTTAGGCTCTCTAGTTGGTGGTAGGGAGAACAAGCAGAGTGAGTGATAGAGTATGAATTATAACACTAGAGATATTCTTTGAAGAGAGTCTTCTCCCCAAGGCCAAATATACTCTGATGGGTACAGATAGGGTCTAGGTGTTTGCTGCTTCCACTTGGAAATGTTACCAGCCAATGTAGCAATTCTTTGAGGCACAAGCACCATGAAGGAAGATAAACTGAACAATCTGTACTAAATGAAGCACTGTTAATGTATCAGATAGAACAAGCATGTTTAATCATAATAAAAATTTTCAAGGAAATAGGGAAGATTATTGGGAATAAGAAAGAGACACAAATCATTATAAGAATGAGTCAGTGAAAAACACTAGGCATAAAATATGAGAGTTGAAATAAAAACTGATTATATCTGAAGATGAATTAGTGAACTAACAGATCAGTTAGGGAACTCTGTCGGGAAGCAGTAGGCAGGAAAATGCAAAAGGAAAGGTAATAAATACAGAGGATAGAAGTTTTAAAAAAGCTGGGATTTGTTCAAGAGTCTTGAGAAGAGGTAATGAATAAATAGAGGAAAAGAAATATTTCAGGAGATAGTGAACAAGATAATGATAGTAAGATGGAGGAATGCATCAAGGAACAATAATTTTTCAGACTTAAATATAAAAAACCTTAGAGTAAAAAGACTCAGGAACTGGTAAAATAGAATGATGAAAAAATGAAATCACACCTATGCTTAATATGCTAACATATAAGATCATCAAGGAGGAAAGAAAAAGTCTACACGCTTTCAAAATGGGGGTGGGGGGACAACGGAATAGGGGATTCTAACTACAAAGGAAGAAGAATGAAATTACCATCATGGACATTAAATGACTTAATACATGTAAATTATTTGAACACTCCCTTGTATATACTAAGCATTCTGTTAAGTGTTAACTATTATTATCAAACTTCTCAACAGCAACCCTAGGTGGAAGAAGGCAATAGAGTAGTATTTGTATTACTGGTTAACACAAAGTGTTAAAGGAAAAAGTCTTTGAAGTTAGTGTTTTATGTTCTCAGTGATACATGGCTGAGACAATCTATAACATAAGATTATCTTTAAGACACCCTTGGACAAATATTTTCAGTAGAAAGAGAAATTGCTCTTGGAGGATGCTAAGAGATATATAAGGAGTAAAGTTTGATTTCCTACTGAAATTCAAGGATCAGGAAGAGAAAGGAGATACATCTAATTAATATAATTCCAAACTAAAATTCTATGTGATATTAAAATGACCAGAAACAGGGTGACCAGAGAATAGTGAGGACATGTTAAGTCACCTATTTTCTTGGAAGGGAGAGAATGGCAGTTATAGATATACGAATTTATGACAAAAGCATCAGTTTTAATAAATTGTTAATGAAAAATAAAAGTATATAACTTTCAAACCAGCTGAAGAAAATCTTGTATTTCTGAGGAACTTGGGAGCCTTAGCCTGGAAATCTCTTTAAAAGCAGAATATGAGACAAGGGCTTTTATATAGATAGTTTATTTTGGAAAGCGATCCCAGTGAACAGGAGTGGAGAAGAGAGTGAATGAAACAGGGAAGGAAAGGAGGAAAAACTAACACAAGGATGCATTAAGGAACTGTGGAAAATGTTTCTCACAATTTTCTTCCCAAGGGTTGATAAAGGGAGGCGTATTGAATAATAAGCAAGAAGCAAGAGCTGTAAGATGCAGGTGAGGCAGTGCTGTCAGGTTATACCAATGAAAAGTTGATCACCCCAGGAAGGCCTGGAGTAAGAGGAAGGAAGAGTGTGTGCAGGGCACAAGAGATAGCTGATATAATAGAGAAAAAAGAAGAAAGAAAATGTAGAAAGAATGATAAGAGAACACATAAAATTATATAGTAGAAATTTGTCCTAACAGAATAATAATTATAATAAATATTCACAAATCAAAAGACATAAATATTCAGGCTGGGTAACAGAACACGAGCAATGTGTCTTTTAAAAAGATAGATTTAAAATAAAAAGATTCAAAAAAAATTAAAAATAAAAGATAAGATGTATCAGGCAAATAAGAAAGCATTAAAAGTTGGGCGAGGAAGCCAGAGTTCCTAAGATGATTCTCAGTAATTGACCCACAAAGAGTCTGAAGTAAGCAATGATTTAAAAGATTTAAGCAACATAATAAATTTGAACTAATATTTATAGATTTGTATACCCATCAAACAAACAAAAATTCGTATTCTTTTAAAGTACAAATGGAACACACAAAAATTGATTATGCCACAAAGGAAGAAAATTCTTCAACAAATTCCAAAAATTCAGCATCACACAGACTACATTTGCTGCACATAATGAAATGAATTTAGGTGGTAAAAATGCAAAACAATCACTCTAGCAATGACTTATGTGAGGAAACCAAACATATATATAATTAAATAACTACATACATACATGCATATATATAACTAAATACATACATATATTACATACATGCATAAATGCATATATATCTACATAAATACATATAACTAACTCTTAGGTTAAAGATTTAATCATAACAGAATGTATAAAATACATAGAAAGCACCACATATCAAAATTTCTGGGATACAGCTTATGGTGTGAGGCCTGAAATTAATATTCAATACTATATGCTGCCTTGACATCTGAAACGAGAGGACCTCAAAAGCCTAACCATGAGTTTTCCTGCTCTCACCAGATATGCTGTACCACCCAGTGGGAAAGACTCCCCACCTAGCCAGTTCATCAGTCAGCTAGACCAGCAGATAGATGCTGCACCCCACCTAGTCTTTAACCAAATGGGTTTCACTCCCCTACCAGCCCATGAAGTTATTCAAACAAGCCAATCACATCCTCCTGTGGGAACCAGGGGTCACCTCACCCTCTCGCTGCTATAAAGCCTGCCTCCCACGTCCCTGCTTGTTCACTCTGTCCCCTAGGGTAACTCTCTGTGGCTCAGCATGATGTGTGGTGTGCTCTCCAAGGCTGTGATGACATGTGACTGACATACTGCTGTCAATCTCATCTCTCCAACAAGATGAGTAGGAGGCCATCAAAGTATAGCTAATGTGGAATATAGAAGAAATTTAAAAGATTTAAATACATTTATTATGAACACCAAGAAAGTCTGAAAACAAATGAGCTGAGAATTCAACTGAGAAAGCTAGAAAAGGGGCAAGAGAATAAACTGAAAGGAAAAGGGAGAAAAAATAGTGGATAAAGAGGGAAAAAAACCTAATGAAATAGAGAGTAACAATGATAAAACCTAGGTAAAATATATAAATTTTGAGAAAAAACATAAAATGTATAATTGGCACAAGAAGAAATAGAAAAGTTTAATGGACCAATGCAATGAAATATTTTATGGTAATCAAAGCATTTTTACAATTTTGGAGTTGAGTTTTACCAAATTGTTACAGAACTGTTAAATTTTATATGAGTTATTCCAGAAAATAGAAAAAGAGGAAAAGCTGCCTAAGTAATTTTGTAAAGCCAGTAAAACCTTGATTTCAAATCCAGATGAAAAGAGTGCAAGAAAAAAAAAAGTAGGTCTATTTCACTTATGAACATAGATGAGAAAATTATAAATTAAACTATTAGCTAATGGAATCAAACAGTGTATATTAAAAAACAATATCATAATCAAGCATAATCTTGGGAATGCAAAGATGATTTAACATGAAAATATGTATTAAGAGACTAAAAGAGAAAAGGTCTATATTATTCAAATACCTATGGAAAAAGAATTTGATAAAAACTACTGAAAAGACCTATTATTTGAAATAAACTCTTTTCCCTAGGTGAAGCCTATCTGTTAAAAATTTCTAGTCAGCATTATACTTAATAAAGAAACTTTGAAGGTTGGCTGCTATAATCACCATTGTTTGATATGATATCAAAAGTCCTGGCCAAACAACATTAAAAAACAAAATAAGAGACGTGGGATTAGAAAGAATCAAACAACTGCCATTTCTTATATCTACATGAAAAACTCAAAGGGATTAGTAGACAAAATATTAGGAGGATTAAGAGAGTTTAGCAAGTTTGCCAAACAAAATCAGTTTAAAAAATTCAACCACCAATAATTAGCAAAAAACATTACTACAAAGAAGACACCATGTATAGTAACAACAAAACTATGGTGCCTAGGAGGTAACTTGTGTGTAATGCACAAACCTTCATGGAAAATTTTTAAACTCTATTAAAAAAGAAGAAAAAAAATCTGAGTAAATAGAAAGATGAAATGTTTGTTGCACGACAATGTAACCTTTTTTCTCCTACTATTGATTTGAAATGTTAATAAGATTCTAGCAGGATGTTTTTAGAAATTTAACCAACTTAATATAAGATGTACATAGAAGAATAAAAGTTCCCAAATGCTAGGACAATTTTGAAAAAATAAGAGCAAAGCAGGTTGATTAATCTTAGACTTTGACACACCATTGACTCTTAGTAATGGAGACAACATGGTATTTGCACAAAGATAGACGAATAGACCAGTATAATTGGACAGAGTGTTTGTAAACAGACTCCTGTACATATCAAACCTGGTGTATGATTGCAAAGCATCACAAATTGGTGGATAAAAATGGATTTTTAATATATGATGCTGGCTAATCTGGTTTACTATATAGAGAAAAATAAAGTGACTGTATTTTACATCATATGTAAAAGGTGAACTCCAAATGAATTAAAGATGAAAAAGTACAAGGCAAAACTAAAAAGCTAATAAAATAAAATTTAAAAGACTATTTTCTAATTTAATATTGAGGAACAACTTCTTGGATCAAAGAAGCACAAAAAATACTGACCCAAACTGATGGCTACAACTATGTAAAATTTAAGAGTTTATCTTCATTGAAGGGCACCATACGCAAGGCTAACAGAGAGGTCATTGGAAGAAAATATTTGCTAGCCCCAAAACTGGAATAAACAAACACTTCCTAGAAATTACAAAAATGAAAACACAGAGGAAAAAAAAAACATGGCTACAGAAGTGATGCACGAAATGGAAAATCCAAATAGTTAATGGGTATGTGAAGAGATGTCAACCTCACTAGTAATCAGGGTGGTGGGGAGGGGGTGAAGAAGCAAATTGTATCATGTTTTACTAATGAGAGAGGTACAAATTAGATGGGATAATACCAAGTGTTGGTGAAATCTGGGAGGAAACAGGAATCCTAGTGCTGCTGGTAGGGATGGAAACAGGAATAGCCATTTGGGAGAGTAATCTGTCATTACTTATGTTAGAGAAAACTATGTATTTGTACACATCTACATGCATATGTATATAAACATATAAATTATATGCATATATTTTCTCTATTTGGTGACCTATCAGTCACACCCCTGAGCTTATACCCTAGAAAATATTTTCACAGACCCATAAATAGTCACATATGAGGATATTCATGTGAGGTGGTATGTGTAAAAGTGACTTAGAGGCAACCTAGATCCAATCAATAGGAAATGTATAAATAAAACGTAGCAGATGCATATTATTTGGAATTCCATACGGTAGTTAGAAGCAATACACTAGATGTACATACAGCAACTGGATAGATTTTTAAAAATTGTGTTAGGTTACCAAAGCAGTGGACATATTAATACAGTTTTCAAAGATATATGCATATCAAAGGATATAATTACACAAATTAAGAGTGACTATTAGAGTGGCTGTCTGTTGGTGGAGTGGGCATTGGGGTTGAAAGGGGGAGAATTAGAAGTAAATCAAGACAGAAGAGCTGCCTAGATCCAAGGACCCAAAAGTGTCATGCATACAACTATGTTTCGGGAGTCCAGGAGGAAAAAAAGAATCCCCAATGCCTAGTTGTCTAATTGTTCATACAAATTATCCCATAATCCCCGAGTACAGGACGTACACACACACACACACACACACACACACACACACTGAAAGAGCCAAACCAGGCAAAACTGTTTTTAAAGCCTTACCTGGAAGTGTTTATTTTTATATATAACCACTAGTCAAATCAATTAAAGCAGTTGAAAACTGGCTTGTGCTTTTATTTGCTTCTTCTCCTTGGAATTCTCTGCACAGTAAGCGCCCCACTCCATCACTTTACTCCCCAACAACTTTAGAGAATCAGTAATATCAAATGCTGAAAAGTAACTTGCAAAACCCAGATATAATTCAAATTAATTTAGTCAAAATGTATCCACTTTTTGTATCAAACCTTTTTTGCACAGGTTAATTGAAGAATCTAATTAAGCAGCAATTTTGACTACCGGATTGCCAACATGAAATTAAACTCAAAACTTCTCCTCTTGCTCAATGTTTAAATTCTCATATGAAACGTCAAGAAGATGTTTCATCTACATTATTGAAAGAGAAAGCTCAGTTTCCAAGCAGAATTTAACTTCCCAAGAAATTGAAAAAATATAATGTTTAGCTGGAGTACTGCTACGCTCCAAACAATCCCACTAAAAGTACCCAAATGTTAATAGTTAATATTTATTCAGAATTTACTAAATTCCATGCAGTAGCTAAGCATCTCACATATACCTCATGAAGTGGTATTATTTCCTTGGTTTCCTTTTTTCAAGTGAGGAAACCAAGTTTTAAAGATGGACAGTATTTAGTTGAAAATTACATAGCAACTAAATTGCCAAAATGATAAAAGAAAAACAGGTTTAAGAGGTATTTCCTCTTTCTCATAGGAAATGCTTTGTATATATCTGTAATGGGGCAGATAAGTAGATTCTGAATTTCAAGGGTTAATACTAGGTAGAAAGTGGGTGATGTGATGAGACACGCCTTTTCCTGGTAACAGGCAAGGTGCTACTCTCCTTCTGATGAACTTGCTTACCTGCCCGATATTTTTGGCCTACATAGTATATGCTTTTTCTGTTCTCTGGAACTCACAGTATAATACCTCAGTTCATTTGCTGTCCAAATCAAACATCAATGCACAGTCAGCCTGGAGGACCTGCTGTGGCTCTGTTACTAAGTTCTGTTTTCACTTAAGAGAAAAGAACATCTTCAGTGACCCTTATTTTCCAAGAAGTATTTGTCAAAACTCATTGTGCAAGAAACTCTTTGGCATCTGTTTCCAAGGTCAGTAACTCTTACTCAGTCATGACAGTCCATCATTCTCTTTCTTTTTTTTTATTCTTTTATTGTCCTTCCTACCTTTTTTCTTTCCTTCTTTTCTCCCTTCCTTCCTTCCTTCCTTCCTTCCTTCCTTCCTTTCTTCCTTCCTATCTCAAGACAGGGCAGGCAGTTTCTATTATATATACGAACTAAACTTTCTTAAGAAGCAAGATTGCCTATGAAAAATTGGCAAGAAGTCATGATAGTTAAAACATTAGTGTATATACTAAAAAACAACAACAACAAAATACTAAAGCAGGAAATAAGAGACTGGTTCCTAACCCTCTTGCAGTTTCTCTGATATTCGGCAATTGACCCTTTTGAGCCTCTGTTTTGTCATCTGTAAGACGACTGTATTGGACAAATGATTTCTAATGTCCCTATTAAAATTTAATGTGGTCCTGGCCAACTGAATGCGTAATTTGAAACAAAATGGAATGAGACTGGCTAAGAAAACGCTGAGGATACAATATATGAAGGCTAACTATGTATCAGCACAGCAAATGTGACCTAAGCGTCATGAAGGATAACACGATAATGAGAAAGTCAAAGGTAGGAGGCTCTGGGCCTAATAATAAGCACTTGTGATTCTTAAATTTGGGTTAATTAGTTTGCATCACAATGTAATCCTTTCATGATGGATGGTTGTAGCCAGCGCTCCTCTAGAAAGAGGAGCTGATGCTCTAATTCTCAAAAAATTTTACCTGGTGTCTTAAATGTGATTTTTAGCATTATTGGAATGACAGACTTCTTGGAGAATCTGTTAAAACCTAGGCCCTCTACTCAGAAAAAATGCAAATATGCACATACATTATTTTACATGAAAGTTTAGTAGTTTGTAGATTTCAAAACTTCAGCCTCCAAGTTAGCAGCCTTAGGTTTTAAAGGTCTCTATGTCATCCAGAGGGTTGGTTAACTGTTTACGCTGTAGTTTAAATATTTATGAACCAACTCATTCATTCATTCATTCATTCATTCATTCAATCTTTCAATAAATGTGTATTGACTGTAGGTACTGGAAATCCAAAATTGAAATACACAATCCCTGTCTTGGGACTTTGAGGGGGTAAGGGTGGGAGAGTATCAATTGGAGCAGTATATACCTAGGGCAAGATTTCTCAGCCTTGGCACTAGCCTTGGCACGAGCCAGATGATTCCTTATTGTGGGGTCTGTCCTGTGCATTGAGGGAGGTTTAGCAGCATCCCTGGCCTCCACCCACTAGACGCCAGCATTACCCCCTGTATTAATCTGTTCTCACACTGCTATAAATAAATACCTGGGACTGGGTAATTTATAAAGGAAAGAGATTTAATTGACTCACAGTTCCACATGGCTGGGAGGCCTCAGGAAACTTACACTCATGGCAGAAGGCAAAGAAGAAGCAAAGGCACAGTCTTACATGGCAGCAGGTGAGAGTAAGTGTGTGTCAGCACAGGAAAAATTACCACTTATAAAACCATCAGATCTCATGAGAATTCACTCA